>NC_000001.11:233608364-233759879 GCF_000001405.40 Homo sapiens | reverse complement strand
TTGTAGTAGCTACTTGAAAGTCCTGGTTGCTAATTCCAACAGATGTGTTATCTCTGTATCTGTTCCTATTGTTTATTTTCCCTGGTTATGAGTCACTTTTTTTTTTTTTTTTGCTTTAGCACTACTAATTTTTTAGCATATCTGGACATTGTGAATACTGCTTTGTTGAGAGTTTGAATATTATTTTCTTGTACAAAGTGTTGAGTTTTTTTGGCAGGAAGTTAACTGGAAAATGGGCTGGATCCTTCAGAGTTTTTTTTTTTTTTTCCAGATGGAGTCTTGCTCTGTTGCCCAGGCTGTAGTGCAGTAGTGCGATCTCAGCTCACTGCCACCTCCTCCTCCTGAGTTCAAGCAATCCTCCTGCCTCAGCCTCCCAAGTAGTTGGGATTACAGGCACCCACTGCCACGCCTGGCAAATTTTTGTATTTTTAGTAGAGACAGGGTTTTACCATGTTGGCCAGACTGGTCTCGAATTCCTGACCTCGTGATCTGCCCTCCTCAGCCTCCCAAAGTGCTGGGATTACAGGCATGAGCCACTGTGCCTGGCCTCTTTTTAAAATTGTTGTTTAGCCTATATTTCTAAAGTATACCCTTTTTTTTTTTTTTTTTTGAGATGGAGTCTTGCCCTGTTGCCCAGGCTGGTATGCAGTGGCAGGGTCTCAGCTCACTGCAACCTCTGCTTCCTGGGTTCAAGTGATTCTCCTGCCTCAGCCTCCTGAGTAGCTGGGATTACAGGCACCCATCACCACGCCTGGCAAATTTTTGTATTTTTAGTAGAGACGGGGTTTCACCAAGTTGGTCAGGCTGGTCTCAAACTCCTGACCTCAGCTGATCCACCCACCTCAGCCTCCCAAAGTGCTGGATTACAGGTGTGAGCCACCATGCCCGGCCAGGCAAACCCAATGTTTAAATTCAAACATCATTTGGCTGTATATTGCCTTATCTTTTTTCAGACAAAATTCATTTAATCTCTGCCTTCTCTGCCAATTCCCAACGTGCTCTATAGTGAAAAAACAAAGAGGCAAATTATAGGAGAGATTTATAACATAGAAAATGATTAAATTTTTACTCTATAACAATTTGTTCTTTCCTCTAAATTAGGCTTTCTTTGCTTTGACCTGAAAACGCAATTTGAAAATTCAATAGTGATTTAACCAATTCTCCTCAGAGTTAAACCAACATTACTCTTCTTGAGTTACAAATGGAGAAATTAAGGCACACCCACATGCTAAGGACATTTTGTCAATCTTGTAATTATTCAGGCATAGTAACACTATTATGTCAGTATTTTATTCCAGTAAATAAATTCTTAGAGGATCAGTAGTTCACATACCCTAGTTAATAACACTAGTAACATACACAATAAAGAAAAACCCAACTCAATACCAGTAGCATAAAATTGCAATTTAGATGTTTATAAAAAGCTCTCCAAATGCACATTATAAAAAGTCATAACAGAAGAACACAAATTAAATTCAGACTCTTTGATTGCTAGGACTACACCTCATTACAAGCTGTCATGTATTTCCTGGCTGAACTTTTGCATAATTGCTCTTGATTTCCCCTAATGAAAACTTAGAAATAGAAGATTATATTGTGAAATCCAAAAAATAAAACCTTCCAAATGATTACCTTGCAGTTCAATCCATTGGGTCATCAGTTTTCCTAGGGATGAGACATCAGGACTGTTTGACAATTGGGAACCAGGATAAGGGTTTACCTGGCTACTAGCTATGCAGGCAGCCATGCTGAGTACATTTTGATCTGGGGCTTCAAAGGAACTCCCAGGGGTCCACGTATGAGCTTCTGCAATTGTCTTCAAAATGTGATATCTATGTAGGCAAGTTTAACTTTCATCAAACTGTCACCTGATTCATGTACTCTTGCAGTTACTCAACAATAGTACTGCTAGGAGTGGTCAAATCAGGAGTGGAGGTGAGGGGCAGTGGGATTGTGAAGACAGAAGACTAGCTTAGACCCTGGTCAGAACAGGGGTGCACCGTGCGTTTCCTTGCCCTCGCTATCACTGCCTGGAGCCTGGAGCACTTTCCAGTAGTGATACCTGAGGAGCACAGCCATCAAGCCCCATCTGTGCCCTGCCCTTGCCCCTTAGGCTGTGCTACTTCTGTGCACTCCAGCCAACATTCAGCCCCCAGATTCATGTATCCATGTCCTCTTCTAAAACCAAGAGAGGCAGCTCTGTCTCCTTGCATGCCAAGCCCAAAGTACTAAGGAGTGCACCTGCCCTGGAAGCCTCCCTTAACCAGTGCCTCTTGGTAGCCAGTGTATAAGTACTCCAGCCTTCTCACCTCTCAGATGAGATAATTCTGAAATGTGTGTTTTATACCACTTCTCAGAGTTCCCCCATAAGAGTAAGCCCTGACAGCCCCCTGTGGTAGCTGACTTACTAACGCACATCAATTGGGAAATGGAATCAATTTTCCATCCCTGTATCACTTCCCCACACCTTTGTTTGTCTTCCCTGTACCTTCCAGGCAAACTATTTGTACTTGAACCCTTGTCTTAGGAGTCCACTTCTGGGGAAAACAGGACTAAGACCAGCCAACCCCTGATCTTTGCCCTTCAGCACTAGCAATTCTTTAGCAACCATCGGAATTTCTGGACAGTCGTCTTGAATTTACCACAGGAGTTTCCAAAGGTCTCAAGAAGAGCAGGTTTCAGAGAGAGCAGATGGTATTCTGTTCTCTTAAGAGGTGTAAGTTTCTTAGTCGATCTCTCTTAGATTGGGGAAAGCCCTCGCTGCATTAGTGGAAATTCTCTACAGATGCAAAATATCAGCCACAAAAGATGGCTTTGCAAGGTTATTTCAAAATATGTCAAAGAAATATATTTTGGGTAAAATATGTTGATTTCCTTCATGATCATGTGATGCTATACAAGAGTCAGGTTGGAATTTGTTCTTATTGCCAAAGAGTCTGTTTTGTCAGTCTTCAGATCTCTATTTTAACATTAATGCTCGTTAGTTTTGTCTAAACTCCAAAAGGTAGAGAATATCCATTCAGTTGACTGGAGGGTTTAGGATTTTATTTTTGGTTTACAATATTGTGATTTCAAAACATAACCTTTGCATTTATCTTCTATGTCCTATGTAAACTAAATACCAAATGGTTTGATACCATCATTCAATTCCTTCCATTTTATTATGAAACATTTCAAACATACAGAAAAGTCAAAATAATTTTACATTAAGCACCTATATACTCTCCACCTTGGCTCAACAATTAAAATTTCTCTACTTGATTTACTATGTATCTATCCATCTCTCCATTTCTCTATCCAACCATCAAGCCATCTTATTTTTTATGCATTTCAAAGTAAATAAAAACCATCAAGCTCTCCTCCTCAAAAACTTCAGCATATGCATCATTGAGAATCAATATTTGCTTATATATTTTTTTCTTTTGAGAAAGTGCAGAAACCTTTTAAGCATGTTACTTGAACCTCAAACCCTCATCAAGTATATTGTCTTTATCTTAGAAATGAACTCTCCATCCCCATTCCTTCAAAGTTCTGTTTTTTTTCTTATACATTAGTTTTACCTATTATAGAATTTCATATAAATGAAATCAGACAGCATGTACTTTTGCACTAAGCATAACATTTCTGACATTCATCCATAAGGTTTTGTGTTAGTAGTCCATTCTATTGTATGGCTGAGTAGTATTTCATAGCATGAATTTACAACAATTCCCTTATTGGTGGATACTGGAGTGTTTCCAGTTGGGGCAATTATAAATAAAGCTGCTATGAACATTCTTGTATAAGCCTTTTTGTGGATACATGTTTTTACTTCTTTTGGGTAAATACCTAGAAGTAGAATTTGGAGTACGTTGAGTTTTATAAGAACCCAAAGAGTTTGTACCACTTTACATGCTCAACAATAATATATGAGAGTCCTGTGTGATATTGTTAGGTTTTTTTGTTGTTGTTGTTGTTTTATGTTAACCATTCTGGTGGATGTATAGTGTTATCTCATTGTTGTTTTGTTTTGCAGTTCTCTAATGACAAAGAATGTTGAGCACACTATCTTAATTGCTGAAACTTTGTAGTAAGTTTTGAAATCAGGTGATGCCATTTCTCTATTTGTTTTCAAAACTGTTTTGCTATTTTAAGTCCTTTGCATTTTATATAAATTTTAGAATTCAGGTGGCAAATTTTTACAAAAAATATCTATGGGATTTTTATTGGGATTGCACTGAATCTATAGATTATATTGAGAAGAATTGACATTCATTATGATGTTAACAGCATGAAGTCTTCTAATTCATAAACATGGCATACTTCTCCATTAGTTTAGTTATTTTTTTATTTCTCTCAACAATTTTTGGAGTCTTCAATGCAGTGACTTCTGTTAAACTTATTCCTAAATAATTTTTTAGTGGTCTTAAAAATAAAGTTTTATCAATTTTATTTTTCAGTTGTTTTCTGTTAGTATATAAAAATACATTTAACCTTGTATCCTGCAACCTGATTTGCAAAGCACTTACATCATGAAAGATACTGAATTTTGCTAATTATTTTTACTACCACTATTGAAATAATCATGATTTTCTCTTTTATTCTATTAATATGACAAATTAAATGACTAATTTTGAATTTTAAATTAAGCTCCTATTCCTGAGATACACCTTATATGATCATGATGTATTATTCCTTTAATGTACAACTAGATTTGATTTGCTAATTTTTTTTGTTAGGGAATTTTGTATCTTTGTTCATAGTGATATTGGTCTGTATTTGTTTTCTCTTCTATTTATTTCTGCCAAGTTTTGTTATTGGATTATGCTAGTCTCATAAAATTAGTTAAAAAGTGTTCCTTGTGTTCTTTCCTTTATTTGCTGAAATAAGTTTCATAAGATTAGTATTATTTTCTCCTTGACTATTTGATAAAATCTACTATTGAAAGTCTCTTTGCCTGAAGTTTTCTTTGTGGTAAGGTTTTTGATAATTCAGTTTCTCTAGTAGACATAAGGCAATTTTGACATTCTCTCTCATCTTGTAAATTTTAGATTTCAAAGAATTTGCCTATTTCATCTAATTTGGCAAACTGTCAACTTCAAACAGTTATATTTCTTAAACATTCTTTTGATGTTTGTGGGGTCTGTAGTGATAACTTTTTTCATTTCTGGTATTAGTGATTTGTGTTTACCTTTCTTTTTCTTTCTTTTGTTAAATCAGTCTTGCTTTGGGTTTATCAATTTTGTTGATCTTTTTAAAAGACCGTCTTTTGGCTTTGTTAATTTTTTATTTTCTATTACATTGGTTTGTGTAATCTTTTTTATTGCTTTCCTTGTACACATGTTGGTTTTTAATTGCTTTTCTTTTTGTAGCTTCTTAAGATAGACTTTTAAATCATTGATTTGATGCATGTCTACATATTAAATAAAAAGAAATCTTTGTATTTTGAGAATATTTTTACATATGGAATACTTCCTTCTGTATTGTCATCAAATCAAAACAATTATGTTTTCTAACCAAAGAGTAGTCTCCCTCTAACATACATAGAAATGTATAAAAGGGTTTGGGTGAAAAAACTATTCAACACTTAACCTGTAATATAAATTGCTATACAATGAAATAAACCAACATTGGTTCTCTTTAATTTAAAAAAATCAGCTGGACATGATGGTCCACCTGATTTTTTAAATTAGGACTTGCAGTCCCAGCTACTCAGGAAGCTAAAGTGGGAGGGTTGCTTGAGCCCAGGAGTTTGAGGCTGCAGTGAGCTAAGAAGTTGCCACTTTACTCCTGCCTGAGTGACACAGGGAGATCCATTTCTAAAAAAAATTATTTACATGCACATATGAACAAATAAAATGATAATGAATGAAAAGATATATCTCTCTCATTCACACATTTATCTTTGATGTAATACATGCTCAGTATGAATATATTATGTACAATATACTCTAGATATTTTAGGATAAGGGCTAAATAGTGGGGGAAATAGGCATGAATGTGAAGAGTGAGGGTATTTCCCTCATCAAATGTCAGTGCATTTATGAAATGAGTGCAATGGCAAATAAAGATTTAATGAGAACATTGTAGAGGCCCTTGGAGATTGGACTGAAGAAAAGCTTGAGTAAATTATGGGTTGAACAAAATTTCAAGGCATTAAAAAAATGTACAGTAATCACAAGTCACTACTGCTTTCTCCTAACCTATTGTAAAGATGCAGCATGCACAAAAAGTATCATCTAGCAACCATCAATTTTCTCAGTCATCTTCTGGAGAATTCACCTTTATATCAATCAAAGATGTCATTCAATTTGCCAACTTTGGTACTTACACTTACCATATGTTTATGGTTTAGTGAGATTAAACTTTGCAATTTCCTAGCTAAAAATAGTTTTAGAATATCAATAAATAATACTGTTTGCTGTCTGTGTAGCATATTCGCTTGGATAATTAAGCACTGATTGTATTTTTAAATAAGAATACTTTCAAATTCCAAAAGTAGGGTTCCTGTGTCCATTTATTTTTTTAGGCAATTAGAGAACTTCTTCACTTTGATTATCTTATTTTAATTTTAGGCATCATGTATATGTTACCCTTTAGTGGGTGTCTTTATGGGAATCATGACTAAATCTCACAATAGGCTTATGAAATAGACATTTTTATTTCTAATTCATAAGTGATAAAACTGACATCCAGAGAGATTAACTGACTTCTCTGAGGCTCAACAACTGTGTTAATAAAAAGTATGTTGCTTAAAAAAGATTTAAATAAATGGAAATACATCCCATGTTCATGGATGAGAGGACAATATTATTAAGATGGCAATACTCCTCACATTTATCTACAAATTTTATGCAAGTATTATTTTTTAAAAACTCAGCTGCCTTTTTGGAAGAAATTGACAAGCTAATCCTAAAATTCATATAGAAATTCAATAAATTCATAAAAATCAAAACTATATTTTAAAAGAAGAACAAAGTTGAAGGACTCATACTTACTTATTTCAAAACTTCCTACAAAGCCACAGTAAACAAGACTTTGTGGTATAGCATAAGGACAGACATATATATCAATGGAATAGAATTGACAGTTCAGGAATAAACCCCTACACTTATGGTTGATTGATTTTTGACAACAGTGCCAAGACAATTCAATGGAGGGAAGAATAATCTTCTAAACAAATGTGCTGAGACAAGTGAATATCCACATGTAAAAGAATGAAGGTGGACCCTTTCCTCACACTATGAACAAAAATTAACTCAAAATGGATTACAGACATAAATGTTAGTGTCTAAAACTATAAAACTCTTAGGAGAAATGTAAGAGCGAATCTTCACAAACTTGGGTTAGGCAAAAGCACAAGAAACCAAATGCAGAAGTAACAGAAGAAAAGATAGATAAACTGAACTTTATAAAAATTAAAAACGTTTGTGCGGCAAATAATTACTAAGAAAGTGAAAGACAACCTACAGAATGAGAGAAAATATTTACAAACTATATATCTTGTAAGACTTGTAACCAGAATATGTAAAAACTTACACAATAATGAAAAAAATAACCCAATCTAAAGATGGATAAAGGATCCCAACAGACATTTCTCCAAAGATGATATACAAATTGTCAATGAGTACACAAGAAATTCCCAACATCATTAATCGTTAGAGAACTAAAAATCAAAAGCACAGTTAGGTATCATTTTACTCTCATTAGGATGTCTATAATAAAAAAGATAGACAACAAAATTGTCAAGGATATGGAGAAACTGGAATCCTCAACACTATTGGTGAAATGTAAAATGGTACAGCTGTTGTGGAAAACAATTTGGCAGTTCCTCAGAATGTTAAACATGAAGGAGCCACATGAGCCAACAATTCTACTTCTCGGTATATACCCAAGAGAATTAAAAACAGATATTCACACAAATATTTGTATGCAAATGTTCATGGTGGCATTTATTTATAGTAGCTAAAAAGTGAACACAGTCCAGATGTACATAAACTGATAAATGGACAAATAAAATGTGTTATATCCATATAATGAAAGATTATTCAGCCATGAAGAGAATAAAGCTCTGATTCATACTATCACATGTATGAACTTTGAATACATTATGTTAAGTGAAAGAAGCCAGTCACAAATGACTACATGTTGTATAATTGAATTTATATGAAATGTCCAAAATAGGAAAATCTATAAGAGACAGAAAGTAGATTAGTCGTTTCCTAGGACTGGGGTGGGGTAGCTTGGGAGGGGAATGTAGAGTGACTGCTAATGAGTATGAGATTTCTTTTTGGGGTGACAAAAATGTTCTAAAATTAGATTGTAGTAATGGTTACACAACTCTGAATATACTAAAAATTATCACATTGTATATTTTAAAAGGGTGAATTGTATAATATGTGAATTACACTTCAATATTGTTAAAAATTGAGATCGTATTTCTGACATTACAAACATAATAAATTTAACTTGTATTTATTCCCATTATTAGGAAAACATTTTTAGGGGTAGGTAAATCTGTGTCAAATATTTCATGTGCAAAAACTTCAGAAGCAAGACAACATTAGAATGATAACATATATGTAAACACAAGTCTATTGTACAAATGTGAACTTTGACTGGATTTGGCTACGATGTGTATAGAACTCATCAAAAGAAGTATATTTAAAATAATAACACTGGGTTTCATTTTTTCATATGGCTTTGATAGTTTTAAATCCATTGTATAGCTTTTACATGGACACATTGATCCTCTAGCATGCACAAACATAGCTGAGCTTCACTCTGACATTTTTCTTGAGGCTATTGTCATTTATTATTTCACAGAGTCAACAACATCACAGTTTCTCTGCTTTGGGAGAATTTGCCCTTCTTACAGAGCTATAATCAGATGGCTGCTGCTATTTCTTCTAATTCCTAAAACTATTACAGAGTGATTTACATTTTATTTTCAGCTCTTCTCCACTTGGACTAGATGCAAAATGGAAGCAATTTAAAATGCAGTCAATGAAAAACAGATCAGCAGGGTGTCTCGTTTTTGCATCCTGATGCAGGTTCCTTCTTAAAGCACTGTGCCAGGCTTGGGCCTAACTCTCTTTTGGAAATAGCCAATTTCATCTGGCTAAGTGAAGGATGAAGTGAGGTCATAACAAGGATTGCTGCAAAATGGTGACCAGAGGCCAGAAACATGGAGTATCTGATTGAGTTTGATGTTTCATTCCTTAACTGATTCTATTCTGTGTAAGATCTATTATTTTCCCATATTGTAGGGCTTTGAGGCACATGAACATAATACATTGCCAGTCATTCAGGAATCTCCTTTTGTGATTATTTCTGAATCTCTTACAGGGATATATTCCACAAAGGCACAATTTGGGTCACATTTTATGAAATTGTTGAGTCATATTTTTCTTTCTAGATTACAGAGATGAATCTAAATTTTCTATGGAAACTTAAAGGAAGAATAAATAAGAAGCTTGAGAGTGATTTCTAGGATGTCATTTAAAAGAGCTAGGCAATTCTTGATATTAGAAAAAATTAATTTCTGATGACCTCATCTTTAAGTAAATCCTTATAAGCATGGTTTCTACCAACGCATGCAAGTTCAGTGCAGCACAGAGAATGCCTGGGATCATGGCTTCTGTGTGTCTCCCAGTTTGGCTTCCAGTTAAATAATACACAGCCAGCTCTCTGATGATGCTCCACTACTGCCCATATGTGCCCCTCACCACTCCACAAAGAGTAGGCTAAGGTAGTTGGAAGGAGGTGGGATCTGAAAAATGTCTGAGTATATGGCTTGTCCTTATTGGGGTGTGTGTGTGTGTGTGTGTGTGTGTGAGATTTCCTAGCACCCTCAATACTCTCCCTTTTAACGGTCAGCACAGTACTGTTGCTGTCTGTTTAATCTCAGCCTCCTTTTACTACAGCATTCCTTCCAGGATTGGCCTCACCACGGTGCACCTTTACATTGCATGTTAGGACAACAATCTCATTAAATTCTGTTATTACACTATCATGAAAATATAGTTCTTTTTAAACCTTATGACTCTTGAATTCCTGTCCCTTCTTATTCATTTGTGTTAGGCAGTTCTTGACCTGAGGCCGGGTAATTTATAAGAAAAGAGATTTAATTGACTCAAGGTTCTGTGAGATATACAAGCATGACACCAACATGGCTCAGCTTCTGGGAGGCCTCGGAGCTTTTACTCATGGTGGAAGGCGAAGTGGAAGCAGGCATGTCACACAGTAAAAGCAGGAACAAGAGAGAGAGGTGCCACACTCTTTTAAACAACAAGATCTGGTGAAAATTCACTCACAATCACAGGGACAGCACCAAATGGATGGTGCTAAACCATTCATGAAAAATCTGCCCCCATGATTTAATCACCTTCACCAGGCCCCTCCTCCAACACTGGAGATTACCTTTTTTTTTTTTTTTTTTTTTTTTTTTTGAGATGGAGTCTTGCTCTGTCGCCCAGGCTGGAGTGCAGTGGTGCGATCTCGGCTCACTGCAAGCTCCGCCTCCCGGGTTCACGCCATTCTCCTGCCTCAGCCTCCCGAGTAGCTGGGACTACAGGTGCCCGCCACCATGCCCGGCTAATTTTTTGTATTTTTAGTAGAGACGGGCTTTCACCGTGTTAGCCAGGATGGTCTCGATCTCCTGAGCTCGTGATCCGCCCGCCTTGGCCTCCCAAAGTGCTGGGATTACAGGCGTGAGCCACTGTGCCCGGCCCGAGATTACCTTTTAACATGAGATTTGGGCTGGACACACATCCAAACTATACCATCATCCTTCCAGCTACTGATTCCTTAGAAGTATGGGCTATCTGTGAATATAATACATTCGAGAAGACTTTGTTGAAGGGAAGTAGGGATGGAGAGACAGCTACTTATTTTCCCAACTCCCCTGGGCCCTGGCTTATTGTATTCCCAAGCGATAAGAATTATAACAAAATGATCACTGGCTTATCATTTGGTCTTCAAACAAATGCCTCATACTTTGGATTTTTAATATGGCAGCACCCCACTTCTAGGTACCAGTTTTTGTATCAGCTAGTTACTTCTATACAAACCACTACCAAAATAAGTGGGATGAAGGAACAGTGATTTTTTTTCTTTTTTTTTTTTTTTGAGTTGGAGTTTTGCTCTTGTTGCCCAGGCTGGAGTGCAGTGGCACAATCTCTGTTCATTGCAACCTCTGCCTCCCAGGTTCAAGTGATTCTCCTGCCTCAGCCTCCTGAGTAGCTGGGATTACAGGCATCCACCACCATGCCCGGCTAATTTTTTATTTTTAGTAGAGACGGGGTTTCTCCATGTTTCAGGCTGGTATTAAACTGCCGACCTCAGGTGATCTGCCCGCCTCGACCTCCCAAAGTGCTGGAATTACAGGTGTGAGCCACCACAATGATTTCTTTAGTCCACAAGTCTGAGTGGATTGGGCCAGGCTTGGCAGGTCTCAGCTGGACTTACTCATGTATCCACGGTCAGCTCCCGGTTCAGCTAGAAGGGGCTTGTCAAATGAAGCCTCAGCTGAAAAAAGTTCTTCTGTGATCCATGTGGTCTCACCCTCTAGCACACCAGTTCAGACTCAACAAACAACAGCTGGACAGACTTATGAGACAGACATGCAGAAGCACCCAAAGCTTTCTGAGATCAAACTCTGGGGCCTTCAATTCTGCAGCATTTGTATTGGTCAAAGCAAGAGGAAATTCTAGCCCAGAGTCAGGGGGCGGAAAATAGGCTCTTGACAGAATAGGCTGTGAAGTCACATGGCAATGGGATATGGAGAGAGAGAAAGAAACAACGGCAGCTATTGTAAGGGGTGAGGAGACAGCAAATTATTTCCCAATTTTTCCAGAGATATAGCTTATTCCAAGGAGATTTTTTTTTTTAAAGATCTTCCATTTCCACATATTTGGAATGATAGAAAGTTAGTTCCTGACATCTTAGAGTCAGTGCAGCTTAAGGAAAAGCAGAAGCACATCTTCATTAAATTCAGACGGTTGGAGGCTGGGTACGGTGGCTCACATCTGTAATCACAGCGCTTTGGGAGGCCGAGGTGGGTGGATCACCTGAGGTCAGGTGTTCAAGATCAGCCTGGCCAACATGGTGAAACTCCATCACTACTAAAAATACACAAAAAAAATTAGCCAGGCGTGGTGGTGCAAGCCTGTAATCCCAACTATTCAGGAGGCCGAGGCAGGAGAATCGCTTGAACCCGGGAGACGGAGGTTGCAGTGAGCCGAGACTGTACCACTGCACTCCAACCTGGGCAACAGAGCGAGACTCTGCCTCAAAAAGAAAAAAAAAAATCAGATGGTTGGAAATGGGAGACCGGTGCAGCAAGCACATGCTATAGAGAGAACCCAGAGCTCAGTGATTCTGCCCTCAGCTTCCTTACCCCCTTGCAAAGGCTGTCTTTTTCAACCTTGTGCAGACATGCTTCATTTCATTATATAAATACAATATTAGTAATTCTCATTTATGAAAAAGAATTTTTCACTAGACTCTAATTACTGGATTGTAGAATAACAAGGTCTGTGCCAGATTCTGTCAACTACGTTTTATTTTATGCAAACATTAAACTCTCTTTCTATATACACAGCCTTCATAATTTGTTATTATCATAGACCGTCCTTTTCCAACTTAAAATATTGTAGTAAATATTGGCTGTAAGACAAAATTCAGCCGCTCCTGTGCTGAGACTTGACTGTCTAAGTCCTTGTCCTTCATCTGTTCAGGATCAGCAAAGCTTCTAAATTAGGGTTGCTAGATTAAGAAAACTCAGGATGACACTTTGCACGGAATCTACTTACACTAAACACTTACTCATTGTTTATCTGAATTTCAAATTCAACTGAGTATCCTGTATTGTATCAGCAACCCTATTCCATACGAGCAGGAAAGACACAGAGGAAAAATACAGGCATTGGGAAAGTAGCCCCTGATGAAGAGAGTGACACATTTAAGGCAGTAATAATAGGGGACTGACCGGAATTTCTATTATAATAATAATAATATCGTTAGAAGGACAGAACATTGTGAAAAAAATTATATTTCCTGGATTAGACATTGATAAGAGATTTGAGTGGTAGACATGATTCTGTTGTTAATTTTTATATGACTCAGGCAAATTAACATTTTTCCAGGTATTAAGACATTTAATATGCACAGTTTGTGATGAAAGATAGAAAAACAAGACTAATTCCTAAACTGAAAACTACTGCTCTTTTCTTCTTTTAGAGGTGAGGTCTCACTATGTTGCCCAGGCTGAGCTCAAGTTATCTTCCTGCCTCAGCCTCCTAAAGTGCTAGGACCACAGGTGTGAGCCACCACGCCTGGCCGTGGAAACTCCTGCTTTATATAAACAAGTAATTATGTTATTTTTTTTTCTTTTTTCTTTTTTTTAGAGACGGAGTCATCAGGCTGTCAGCAGGCTGGAGTGCAATGGCACGATTTCGGCTCACTGCACCCTCCTCCTCCCAGGTTCAAGTGATTCTCCTGCCTCAGCCTCCTAAGTAGCTGGGACTACAGGTGTGTGCCACCCTGCCCAGCTAATTTTTGTATTTTTAGTAGAGATGGAGTTTCACCATGTTGGCCAGGATGGTCTCGATCTCTTGATCTCGTGATCTGCCCACCTCAACCTCCCAAAGTGCTGGTATTATAGGCGTGAGCCACTGCGCCTGGCCCCAATTATGTTATCTTATTTTACACTGTGCTTTGCATTTTTTCTGAATCCGTTACATCTGTTTTACTTTTTCTCACAAAGATGCTGTGAGAAGCTATTCTGCATCCATTGATTTCTGTTATCAACACTGAGGTCCCTGTAGGTCCATTTGAATATCCTGAAGTCCGTAGTGAAGAGACTCCTTCCTGATGTCCAGTCTGGTGCTGTATCCATGTGACCACACAAACTCATAGAGAGGTGAGTTTTCAATTTTGCAGGCATTTTCCTTACCACCTTTCATGTAACACTTACGATGTCCTGCCTGCCTCACATTTGTCATGGCTAACATTGGAGGGGCTTTGAATTACCTCGCTTTCCTTCTCCATCCTCCCCCAACAGGAAAAGTAAAAGGACAAATAATCTCTCCTATCAGCATTGACCTTTATGCATCTCAGACCTTACACAAGACATTTCATATTGATTGCCAGCTCACAGAATTTACATGCTAACCTACCACATCAGTGTATTTTGTTGTCTTCTCTGACTGAGTTTGGAACTTGCTTTTACTAATGTGGTGATTTATTGCTACTTCAAGTTTAGTCCAAAACAAAAGTGCTTGTTTGAAGATAAAAAATTAAAATCTTCAATTTAGCAGTGAGATAATAGAGTTCAAAAACATTACCTTGGTTCTATTTTAAAAAGTATATGAGGCAGCAAAAGCACGATTCCTTTATCTCTAGTATGTTGTTTACAAACTGTCAGCTTTGAAGGTTTTTTAATATGCATTTTGAAGAGACAAGCACATTGAATATACCTTCCATTAGAAAGTAAATTGTAAGTTTTCAGGAGGAAAAGATCTATGGAAGAATTCATTGAACTATCTACACCATGAATAAGAGCACTTCTGGCATCACAAGCATTTATACAATACCGTTTATCTCAAGGGCAGTATAGTGGATTAGGAACTAGCAAACGTTATGTAATTCAATATAACCCTAATTAACCAGAATCACATTCTGGAATTCAGTCAGAGAAGTAGCTAAAGATACAGTGCTTTCTGTTCACAGTAGAAAAAGAAGGGGTCCCCAGTAGACACTGACTGATATTTATGAAACATCAGAGCCAGGTGCTATACTAAAAGCTTTACATGTAAAATTTTATTTTATTCTCACAAAAACCTTGTAGCTTAGGAACTATTATCACCTTCATTTTACAGATGAAAATATTAGAACACAGAAAGATTGGCCAAGATCCCATAATTAAATGTGACAGGACCAGGATGCAAACCCAGATGGTCTAAGTCAAGATTGCAAATGCAGAATCTACCCCTGATCTGCCTTTTAAATTAAATCACAGGTTCCAACTTCCAGTAATAGTGGAATAACTTGTATCTGACTACCCTTCTATAAACAACAATTATAAACACTGGGATAAAATACTGAAAACTGCTTGAACACACTAATAGACAAAAGCAAGCTGACAACAGAGAGGATGTGATCGAAGAAGGTAACTACATTTTTGCTATGCGCATTTATTTAGCTTTTTCCCTAAGTGCACATATTAGTACACTGATAAATATACCCGAGACTGTGTAATTTATAAAGAAAAATAGGTTTAATGGACTCACATTTCCACATGTCTGGGGAGACCTCACAATCATGGCGCAAGGTGAAAGACGCATCTTACATGGCAGCAGACAAGAGACAATAACAGAATCGTGCAGAGAAACTCCCCTTTATAAAACCATCAGATCTCGTGAGACTTATTCACCATCACGAGAACGGCACAAGAAAGACCCGCCCACATGACTCAATTACCTCCCACCTGGTCCCTCCCATGACAGGTGGGAATTGTGGAAGCTACAATTCAAGATGAGATTTAGGTGGGGACACAGCCAAACCATATCAGTGCACTTCTGGGTCTGTACAGTCTGTAACAAACAGAACTCAAGTAGAAAAGTCCACTTGCATTGGCCTAAGGAGTCAGGAAATGAAAACAGAGGAAGAAAATCCTAGAATAGAAAAAAAACTAAGGGAAGGGGAGCCCCTAGTCCTTGACTGACAGCTGAACTACATGTCTGTGGAATAAATCAAAGAATTCACTCTGAAAGGCTGAGTTGCTGAATAGTAGTTTCTGGAAACCAAGTTTCAGTTTGTGTCCAGTTTAGTTATAAAGGCTTGGGAAACGCATCTTGCTTTTTATTAGACGTCAGAAAAGACATGCCTTAGACGAGAAAAGCTGTCATGTCATGACTAAAAGATTTGCCCTATCCCCAGCATTAAAGGAAAAATAAAGACCTATTCTAACAAAGCTTAAAACCATGCCCATACAACAAGATCAGGGTCTTTTCCAGTCTATCTCTTGGATAGACCCTATGTTGGGCAATGAAATAAGTCCCAGTAAATTTCAGAGGACTGAATTCATATAACACATATATTCTTCGATTACAACATAATTATACTTGAAATCAATAATAAGGACATTTGAAAGGAAGCAACAGTCTTCAAAAGAAGCTCATGGGTCAAAGAAGAAATCACCAGGAAAATTTTTAAAAATTTAAAACACTATGCAAAAGAAAGCTGCTGTGTCTATATTAATACCTAACATTATAGACTTTAAAACAATGAGGGGTCTTTAGTAATAATGAAAGGCTGAATTCATTAAGAAGATGACAAAAATCCTACATGCCTGTGCATCTAATAAGTGTGCCACAAAGCAGAAATCAGCAGAACTGAAGGGAGAAAAGAACAATCACACAATTATGATGGGATATTTTAAAACCCCACCTATCTCAGTAATTGATAGAGCACTTACCTAGAAAAACCAATAGGGATATAAAAGATTTTAGCAGCGCTAATAATCGACCTGATCTGATTGAAATTTATAGAACATTGCACCCAACAACCGGAGAGTAAACATCCTTTTTAAATTCACTTGAAACATTCTCCAAGATAGATTACATGCTGGATCATGAAATACATTTCAAAGGATCAAAATAATACAGAGTATGCTCTGTGATCACAATGGTATTAAATTATAATAAGATATCTAGAAAATTGAAGAATATTTAGAAATTTAGCAACACATTTTTTAAATAACTGATATAGGTCAAAGAAGAAATCACAAGACAAATTAGAAAATAATTTGAGCCTTGGTGCAATGGTTCACACCTGTAATCCCAGCACTTTGGGAGGCTGAGCTGGGAGAATCACTTGAGGCTAAGAGTTTGAGACCAGCCTGGGAAACACGGCGAGACCTGTCTCTACAAAAGAAATTAGCCAGCCATGGTGGCGCGCATCTATTGTCCTAGCTACTCGGGAGGCTGATGCAGAAGGTTTGCTTGAGTACAGAAGTTTGAGACTGCAGTGAGCCACAATCATGCCACTGTACTCCAGTCTGGGTGACACGGGAGACCTTGTCTCAAAAAAAAAAAAAAAAAAAAAGAACCTCTATGAAAACCTACATCATACAAAATGGTGAACTATTGAATGCTTTGCCCAAAGACCAGGAACAATCTTTGGATAAGTATATCCAATTCCATAACTTCTATTCAAGAGTGGAATGGGATCCTAATCAGTAAAAGAGAAGGAAAATAAATAAAAGGCATTAAGATTAGAAAATAGAAATAAACTTTATTCATAGATGACATGGTCATGTGCATAAGTAATGCTAAGAAATCTACATAGCAACCACTAGAATTAAGTGAATTTAACATGATTGCATGATACAAGGTCAAGATAAAAAAATTTATTGCACTCTACATAATAGGCACAATTAGAGATTAAGATTTAAAAGTGGTACCTTTTATAAAATTATTTAAAAATTAAATGCTTAAGAATAAAATTAACAAAAGACAAGCAAGACCTGTATGCTAAAAAGTACAAAATGCGTGCAAAAAGTGTAGAGAGAAATTTTAAAAAGCTCTAAGTAAAAGGACATATATAACATCATGGATTGAAAGGCAGTATTTTTAGTATGTCAATTTTCCCCAAAGCTACTGGTTCAATACAATCACTACCTTATTCCCAGTAGCTTTTTTTGGTAGCTATTAAGTTCATTCTAAAATGTATATGAAAATGCTAAGGTTCTAAATTAGCCAAAAGAATCTTGAAAAAGAACTCAGTAGAACTTACTCCAATTGATTTAAGCACTAATTATAATACTACAGTATTTAAGATAGTTTGATACTGATATAAGACAGACAAGTAGATTAATGCTACTGGAAGAGTCCAGAAATAGACTCACATATTCAATTAATTTTCAACAAAAGAAGGCACCAAGGCAATTCAAAAACAAAAGTCTTTTCAACAAACAAAGCTACAATAATCAAATAAACATATAGGAAAATGTGATCCATGATCTCTATTTTAGACTATGAACAAAAATTACTTGGGGATGGATCATAAGCTTAAACATGAAGCTCGAAAACTTATAGATGAAAGCAGAGACTATCTATGCAGCTTTGAGTAGGCAAAAATTTCTTAGGTGGGCCATCAAAAGCACTAACTGTAAAATAAAAATTATTAGTCAATTGCAGTTCATCAAATCAAAAATATCTTTTTTGACACCATTAAGAAAATAAAAGGTGAGACACAGAGTGAAATTCTTGCAATACATGTATCTGACATATGTTCAGGAATATATCCAGAATATATATCCAAAATGTATAGAGAACTCCTATAATCAATATTTAGGCTTGGTGGGGTGAATCACATCTGCAATCTTAGCACTTTGGGAGGCCAAGGTGGGCAGATCACTTGAGGTCAGGAGTTTGAGACCAGCCTGGCCAACATGGTGAAACCATGTCTCTACTAAATAAAAAAAAATAAAAATAAAAAAATAAAAAATAAATAAAAATTAGCCAGGTGTGGTGGTGCACGCTTGTAGTCCCAGCTACTAGGGAGGCTGAGGCAGGAAAATCACTTGAACTCAGGAGGTAGAGGTTGCAGTGAGCCAAGATCACACTACTGCACTCCAGCCTGGGCAACAGAGTGAGACTTTGTCTCAAAAATAGATATAGATATAGATATAGACATAGATATAGATATAGATATAGAGAGATATAGATCTATACATAGATATATGTATATTTAAAAGGCAAGCAACCCAATGTCAATTGAGCAAAGAACTTAAAATGAACACGTTACAAAAAACAATATGAAATGTTTGTAAGCACATGAAAAGATGCTCAGAGTTACTAGTTATTATGAGGATGCTTGGTAAAACCCCCATGAGATACCACTATCCACCAGTATAATGGTAAAAGAAACAGAAACAAAAATCTGACTACCTCAAATGTTAGTAGGATACAGAGCACATGGAATTCTCATACATTGCTAGTGGGAGTGTAAATTAACCCAACCACTTTGGAAATGTTGACAATTTACCCAAGAAAGTCAAACATATATCTATTCTCTGCCTTAGCAATTCCACTCTTACATATTTCTTCAAAAATTAAAAAGTGAAAAGACATGACTCTGAAAAGCCTTGTGAAACAGAAAGAAGGTTCATAGCAGCTTTATTCATAATAGCCAAAAATTTAGAAACTACTAAAAGGGCAAGTGAATGGCTTTCATTTGGAATCCTACTCAGCAATAAAAAAGCAATAAACTATCAACACAACATGAATGCATCGTAAAAAGCATTATGTTATGTGAAAGAAACCAGGCCCCCAAAGAAGTGTGTAACGTTTGATTCAATTTTTTGAAAGTTCTAGATCAGGCAAAACTAAGCTATATTATTAGGAAACAGAATAGTAATTGACTCTAATGAGAGGACTGACCAAAAGAACAGGTGAGGAAACTTTCTGGGGTAGTGGAAATGTTTTAACATCTCTATGGGTGGTGATTCCACAGGTATACATGTGTGTCAAAATTCACTAAGTAGTATGCTTAAATGGGTGTATTTTATTTTATCCCAATGAAGTACTTAAAAGTTATGTAACAATTAAATTATGAATGGCTGATGCTTCTGCCATATCATCTCCCTTGAAGCATAAATGCATTTTTTTTTTTGAGACAGAGCTTCTGCCTTGTTGCCCAGGCTGGAGTAGAGTGGCAGGATCTTGGCTCATTGCAACCTCCGTCTCCCGGGTTCAAGTGATTCTCCTGCCTCGGCCTCCCAAATAGCTGGGATTACAGGCACATGCCACCACGCCTGGAAATTTTTTTTTTTTTTTTTTTTTTTGTATTTTTAGTAGAGACAGGGTTTCACCATGTTGGCCAGGCTGGTCTCGAACTCCTGACCTCAGGTGATCCACCTGCCTCGGCTTCCCAAAGTGCTGGGATTACAGGCGTGAGCCACCGTGCCTGGCCTGAAGCGTAAGTGCATTCTATGGCTTGAGAAAGCAGGATGCCACGCCCTTGAAGGGCACAGATATTCTGGTGTAGTGAAGAGGGTAGTGTCCTCGGGACAACTGCATGTGCTGCTTCTACCACAGGCCATGGCATGGATGCTCACTTGTCAGTCTGCAGTTCAGCTCCACAATCCCTCAGATTCGCCCCACTTACCATCCATTTTCCAAGAGGGGCAGCTCTCTGCTTGGAATGGTTTCCCCAGTGTCCCCGAAACTGAGTTGAAGCCTAAAACGCACATCTGAGCATCCATCTTCCTTCAGCCTTTTCCTTTCCTATACAAGTTTTGAGTTAGGCCTTACAATTCTGGACCCTGGATAGCAAATGTTGTCATTCTAGGTGACTCTAAGGAAGCTTCAGGTGTTTGTCTACTAACTCCGCATTCCGTGACATGTCCATCTCCTAAAGTAATTTTTAAAATAAGCAAATAAACAAATAATAACCTCTCTCAAACCCAAGAACATAGCTTTACAAAGCTTTAATACTAGGCATGATCGCTTATTGGTAATGACTTAATTCTAGAATCAAAGAATCCCCAAACATCCTTCTCACAACCAAGTATCAATCGCTCAGGAAATGTTGCAAAAGTTTCTTCTTAGTTCGGCTAAAACCAGGCTCTTGTCACACGACCAGGAAAGGTTAGGCTCGTGGACACACAGAAGGGTGAGGAAAATGGAATGTACTGTTCAAAAAAAAAGGAAAAATAATTCTCAGCAAAGCGAGAAAGAGTCATGTTAGCAGGTTTCCCGCCTCACAGATTGAATCCCAGGTCACCACGCAGGAATGTGAGAGGCCAGGCTCCTCCCCTGGGCAAACGATGCTAACTTCCCTAGGCTCCACCCCATCCTCCCAGCCCGTGGGTGGGCATTATTCAGAATCAGACGGGAAGGGGCGGGAGTCATCCGGGACCCACAGTACGGTTTTTCCGCCTTCCGGCTGTTTTAGACTTGGAGGCGGGGTTTCGCCAGGGACTCTTGGCTACCTTTTGTCTCTATAAGAAACAGTCAAACCATGATGATTTTCCAGTTTTAAGTTTTGATCATTAACATTTGCTGTGAATAACCGTGTTTCTGATACAAACTTCCTGGCTAATTTTCTTATATTTAATTTCTATTCAAAACATTTTTTCCTATGAATTATCATGTCCATTCTTATTTTAAAGCTCATTCGCTCAGCATTTATGGTAAATATGGCCTTAGCAGCTATTCTCACGTGAGTAGTTGGACCTAGGAGAATGCATACGGGGCTGGCAATCTGGAAATCTGGATTCTAGTGTTGGCTGTGTTATAAGGTAGAGATTTTGGGCGACTTCCAACCTTTTTGGATCTCTGTGTCTACAAATATAATACAAAGGAATTGGACTAAGCATTCTCTGAATTTTCCCCTCTATTGAAACCTTTGGTGACAGCGTAAACCCTAAAAGGGAATTATTTTATTTCTATTTTTCCGGCTATCATACAAGGATTCAGACGAGATGAGGTGGCGAAAATATTCAGGGACTTTAGCAGGGAAAGAAATGCTGCCTTTTTCATGAGGTTTTCTTCACTTAAAAGTATCACTTACTGAGCAGAGGGGTCTATTTTGTTCACAACTGTGTCCCTAGCACTTAAACCAGCGCCTGTGTAGACACTCAGTACACATTTGAGTGAAATGTAATTAAACATTTGCATAGGTAGTACAAGAAGGTTGTCCATAAGTGCAAGCACCCTATCTGTCTTACTCACTGCTGTACCCTGATGCCCAGAATGTGCTTGGTATATAGCATATGTGCAATTACTGTTCATGGGAAAAATAAATGAAAGAAAAATAGTCATTCTCACAAAAGTGTTACAGAGCAAGGGCTGAAATTCAAAATATCTGTATCTTCTTTGAATGGTTTTAATATCCAGATCAAGTGCAATGCCAACTATAGCGAACTCCCCTGAGGAGGCCTGGAAAGCTATTTGTACTTCTCCTTTGGTGGAATCCTGGTGGGCATATCTGAGATAAGGAAGGAAAGGACAGTGATGAGTACAGCGAAACATAAGCAGCACCAAAAACTCTTTAGAGGTTCTGGATGTGGCTTGATCTTTGCTTTACAAATATGCTGGGTCTAGAAAAAGCAAAAGTTAAGAAAGAAGTAGAAGCCAGTGGTGAAGATTTCTTTCCTAAGGTTGGAAACAAAAGCGATTGGTAACTTTTTTCCTAACGGCAGTAACCTCCTTTGAAATCTTTACCATTGGTTTTTACCTATTAACTTTTGCTTTATAAGGTCCTGGCACCTTATCTTTTATAACAACTATGTGGTTGGGAAAGACAAAAGAGCAACTGGGGCATTTCTAGCCCTGAGGATCTTGTCTTAGCTTCACTGAGCTACATACAAGTTATTCAGCATACCAATCAATTGCCTATGCTTCAGTCCTCTCCTCAAGTGAAGAAGTAAAAGTGTAAGCTCTTATAACAATTTAATGTAAAAGAGCTATTAATCATCATCATTGTTATCATGTTCCCAAAAAGCAAGACCCAACTATATGGTGTCTGAGGGATACCCACTTTAAATACTAAAGCATATTTAAGAGAGGTACAACTTGTAAGTAGTTAAAAGAATGAAAAGTACAAAACTGGAACAAAAGCAGAAATTTGTGGGGTACCTAACATAGCCCCAGGAAAGTCAGGGATGAGGCTTGCCTCAGGGAGCAGCTAACCCAGGGATACAGGGTGGTAGTAAGGCATTGCTATCTGTTTTTGTCTGTCTCTGGCCTCTTACTTTCTCCACTGTAGTTTTTCTTAGCTCTGATTATCTTTCTCCAATGGGCAGCGAACAGGGATGGGAAATGGCAGCTACCATTTCTCACAAAATGTACTGAAAGTTTATTGTGTGCCCAGTATTGTTCTAAATTTTTTAGATGTATTCACTAAAATTTCACCACTTTATCAGGTTAAGTGCTACTATTATCCCTATTTTACAGAAGGAAACTAAGAGACAGAGTCAAAATAAGTTGCCCAAGGTCACACAGATAAAAGTGGTGAAACTGGGATTCCTAGGTTTAGCCCCAGAGAGACGCTGTTTTTTTTTTTCCTCTGGCTTCAGTTGGGAAATCCTTAAAGCAAGACTCTTGAGTTGGTGACGGTCACCAGTCCTCTTCCGTCTTCTTCCCTTTGCCCAGGTGTATTCTCTAATGACAAAGCTGCTCCCACTAAATCAATATGCTTGGAACAGAAGAAGGTGCATTTCCCAGAGGAGAAAGGAGAGCTGGATTATAAAATCAGTATGCATTCACGCAGAGTCACCTGGAAATGAACCAATCAAAGGATACCTTTTGAGATGTGCAGGTTAAAAGGGGTAAATGACACCAGTCTCCTTGCAACTTGCTTCTCTTTCTCCTCAACAGTAACTTCCACTATACTTTGGAGATTTACCTTCTACATATGTGAGAAAGGAAAGAAGTGTGTGTGTGTGTGTGTGTGTGTGTACACATGTATGTATATACACATGGATATATATACCATTTTATATATATATAGGTATACATGGATATATATACATACATGTGTACTAAACTTATAAAATTTGCATTGCTTCGGTTTTTATACCATGCTAATGTTTCAGTAAAACAGGGCTCTGCCAAGATCACGCCACTGCACTCCAGCCTGGCGACAAAGCAAGACTCCGGCTCAAAAAATAAAAAACAAACAAACAAAAACAGAGCTCTGTTTTTGTAAACTAGCCATCATCAGACAGGCCTGTAGCATTTTATTGTATTTTGTCACCACATATTTGCTTAATATTCACAGCTGATAGAGGCACTTAACTGCTTCC
The DNA here is from genome assembly GCF_000001405.40 of Homo sapiens. NCBI lineage: Eukaryota > Metazoa > Chordata > Mammalia > Primates > Hominidae > Homo > Homo sapiens. The sequence continues at coordinate 233,736,082 of NC_000001.11, read as the reverse complement.
AGTCAGTGTGATTCAGAAAAGATAAATGTTAATAACCTGTTAGAGAAGTTATGCCGAGGCATTATTGTAGAAAGGGAACTGCTCCTGTATCTAACTTAGCAATCTTATTTAGACATTCCTTTCTCAACTGAACATATCATTCTCTGTTTCTCAAATATTCTCCTAAGCAGCTCTTTTGTCTTTCTGTTGGTTCAGCCAGTTAAACTTTGGTATTTCTATCCAATACGTTTGAATGTTGCCTTAACATATGGAAGGCACATGCATTTTTTGACCTAGATAAAAGCTATGATGTTGGCTGTATAATACCCCTTCCCCTCTTCTGATGGAGGAAGTGCTGCCGAGTACTGGATTGGGCATCTTGACACCATCAGCCACCTCCCCACTTCATGAAGGGGTCCTCCTGTGGCGAAGGAGCCCTAGATGGGGAGACAAGGGTATGGGAACAAAAGGTAGGGGTCAGCTGGCCATGGGTGGGGAAGGTCCAGTCTGAGAGCTGCTATTCTGAAGTACAACCTTAGGGCATTTGCTATTCCTAGCATTTTTGCTGTCCTGAGGCTGTCCAGACATTAAGGCTGAGTTATGCTCCTTGCTTCAAAAGAAGATAAAATCTAAACAAGAGCAAGGGAATTAAATGGCCCCCTTTTGGCATTCAAAGCACTCTTGAAGCCCTTTTCAGAGACAATAGTTGCAAAAAGCTAGAGCTAGACTTTTTTGAGAGAAAAAGAGATTTTCAAGTCCCAGTGAGCCAAAACTTCCTGGAATCTAGGTTTATAAACTAAACATAGGTAGGAAAGATGAGGATATCATGTTCGAACATTTCCCTGGCTCAAAATGTTACCGGAAAGGGGTCTCAATCAGGACCTCAAGAGAGGGTTCTTGGATCCCACACAAGAAAGAATTTGAGGTGAGTCCATAGAGTAAAGTGAAAGCAAGTTTATTTATTAATAAAGTGAAGGAATAAGGAATGGCTACTCCACAGGCCCTCAGGACTGCCGGTTGTCTATTTTATGGTTATTTCCTGATTATATGCTAAACAACAGGTGGATTTTTCAAGAGTTTTCTGGGAAAGGGGTGGGCAATTTCCGGAACCGAGAGTTCTCCCTTAGACCATATAGGGTAACTTCCTGACGTTGACCATGGCATTGGCAAGCTGTCATGGCTCTGGTGGGAGTGTTTTTTAGCATGCTAATGCAATATAATTAGCACATAATGAGCAGTGAAGACCACCAGAGGTCGCGAAGTGAAGACGACCAGAGCAGTGAAGACGACCAGAGGTCACGTTCATCATCTTGGTAGGTTTTCGCTGACTTCTTTACCACATGCTGTTTTACCTACCCTGTTGCCAATTCTAGGTCACTGTCCCAACCTGTCATAAGTGAGGGGAACACACTCTTGTGTTGACCTTGTCCCTCATCTTGTGACTTAGAATGCAGCCCAGTAGGTCTCAGCCTTATTTTACCCAGCCCCTATTCAAGATGGAGTCGCTCTGGTTCAAACACCTCTTACAAAAGGAAGGCATGGAAACTTTTTCTGACCTGCACAAGGATGCAGGAGCTATTTGAAGCTAAGGAGCAGATGGTAGACTGAGTAGGGACCCAGTGCCTCAGCCACCCTGGCCCTTGTGTATATGTGTAGGTGTGTGTATGAGGGATGGGGCAGCAGATGATAGATTAAAGAATTGATAGGGCTTGTTTTTTATTTTTTGTTTGGAACTATCGGAAGGAAACCATCTCAAAAGCTTCCCCATACTTATGACAGGTTGGGACAGTGACTTAGAATTGGTAGTTGGTAGGCTGCAGAGAAAAAAAGCTCAAAATAGTACCTCTCTGGCCTGCCTGAATGAGGAGAGAGGCAGGTGTTTCCGCAAGTCTAGTGAGGGTCGAAGGAATGTAGAGGGGATTGGTGGATTGGAAGAGGCCTGAGGCCGGCAAGAGAATGCTGCAGAGTGTGCAGGCTTTGTGGTCCCACACCTGACAGAGAAAAAATGATATCAGCAATAGGCGCACTGTCCCCTCTGGAAGACTAGGTGGGACCAAGGAGATCTGCAGCAGGTGCGGAAGGACTAGAGATCACCTTACAAAGATCAAGAGTTTATGCAGATCAAAGCTGGTAGGACCCAGAGGACAGCACCAGGACGTGAACCCTGCTGTACACAGATGCCGTCCTAGGAGACAGGCAATACACAACAGAACTGATAGAGAATCTGAACTTTAAGTTTAAAGCTTGGATGGAGTGAGTAATTACCCCAAAACGGGATGTACTTCTAAACCAAAGAAACCAAATCTTCCTAGGCAGAATTAAGTGGGAACTTTGGAGCTAAGAAAAGTTCATTTTCCAGAAAAATGTCCCATCTCTATGAGAACTAAACTCTGTCCTTTTTTTCTCTTTTGCCCAAATTTTTTTCTTTTTTCTTTTTTTTTTGATACAGAGTCTCTGTTGCCCAGGCTGGAGTGCAGTGGCGCGATCTCGGCTCACTGCAAGCTTCGCCTCCCAGGTTCACGCCATTCTCCTGCCTCAGCCTCCCTAGTAGCTGGGACTACAGGCGCCTGCCACCACGCTCGGCTAATTTTTTGTATTTTTAGTAGAGATGGGGTTTCACTGTGTTAGCCAGGATGGTCTTGATCTCCTGACCTCATGATCCGCCCGCCTCAGCCTCCCAAAGTGCTGGGATTACAGGCGTGAGCCACCGCGCCCGGCCTTTTGCCCAAATTTCTATCTAAGCGGCCTGGGAGTCATGCTCTACACACCATAAAATCTTGCCAGATGGGTTGCATTTAACCCTATATAATACTTTCCAACCTGACTCTGGCATAACATCACATGACGGATAAAGAGGAAATCAAAATATTTTAACACAAAATATGTTTCTTTGCCATACTTTGAAATGATTCTGTGGAGTTGTCTTTTGTTGGGGGGAGATTTGCATCCTGTAAAGAATCTATTAACACAATGAAATATTTTCCCTTCCAGACCCTCCCAATCCTGAAGAGATTGAGAGTCTAGCACTTTTTACAGGTCTGAATAGGAAATATTTGCCACTTATTATCTCTAAGAGTGGCCAGTTCTGACATTTGATCTACATAATAAGTACTTTGGTCTCCACAACCCTTTCTCTTAACACAGACACTTCTTTCTGTTGATTCCAGGCTTTCAGATCATAACTTAATTGTTTCAACCAATTGACAATCAGAAAATTTTTTGGTTTTGCGTGTTTGTGTTTTTTTGGTTATTTTTTTGAGACAGTCTTGCTGTGTTGCCCAGGCTGGAGTGCAGTGGTGCCATCTTGGCCCACTGTAACCTCTGCCTCCCAGGTTTCAAGTGATTTTCATGCCTTAGTCTCCAGAGTAGCTGGAATTACAGGCATGTGCCATGCTGGGCTAATTTTTGTATTTTTAGTAAAGATCAGGTTTCACCAGGTTGGCCAGGCTAGTCTCAAACTCCTGGTCTCAAGGGATCTGCCCACCTCGGCCTCCCAAAGTATTGGGATTACAGGCATGAGCCACCGTGCCTAGTTGCCAATCAGAAAATCTTTAAATCTACCTATGACCTGTAAGCCTCCACTTCAAATTGTTCTGCAATTCTGGACCAAACCATGTATCAATGATTAATGTCTTATGTCTTCCTAAAAGGTATAAAACCAAGCTGTAACCCAACCACCGTGGGCACATGTCCCAGGACCTCTTGAGACTGTGCCTTGGGCCATGGCCACTAATATTTGGCTCAGAATATATCTCTTCAAATGTTTTACAGAGTTTGGCTCTTTTTTTGACATCTACATATATCAGCATTCACACAGAATTCACTCACAGAATCATAAGATATTCATAAGATACAGGAGACTTCAGCCCCAGATCAGTCTTACCAGTATCAGATCTAACCTATGACTGTACAAATAAACTAAAAGATCTAATTTTTAAGATAGCTTTTAACCAAAGGCAAACCCTCTTATTAAAAAGTCTTTCTTAGGATAAACAAGCTTGCTTGCTTTTTTCTTTTTTTTTTCTGAGACAGGGTCTCACTTTGTCACCCAGGCTGAGTACAGTGGCACAACCTTGGCTCACTGCAACCTCCACCTCCCCAGTTCAAGCGATTCTCCCACCTCAGCCTCCTAACTAGGATTACAGATGAATGCCACCATACCCAGCTAATTTTTGTATTTTTTGCTAGAGACGGGTTTTCACCCTGTTGGCTAAGCTGGTCTCGAACTCCTGATCTCTGGTGATCCACCTGCCTCAGCTTCCCAAAGTGCTGGGATTACAGGTGTGAGCCACTGCACCTGGCCCAAAGCTTATTTTGTACTAGATATCTCAGTTCACTTGTACAGCAGTGTCTTGTTGGTTGTTTTTGTTTTTGAGACAGAGTCTCACTCTGTCACCCAGGCTGGAATGCAGTGGCATGATCTCAGCTCACTGGCTCACTGCAACCTCCACCTCCCAGGTTCAAACTATTCTCATGCCTCAGCACCCTGAGTAGCTGGGATTACAGTCATGTGCCACCATGCCCTATTAATTTTTGTATTTTTAGTAATGACGGGATTTCACTATGTTGGCCAGGCTGGCCTCAAACTCCTGAGATACAGAAGGAAGATAAGGGGGCCTGGAGAATCTTCCACTGGCCTGCCCACTGGGTGGATGGGGTGGAGCCTTGGGAAGTTCCTGCCATTTGCAGGGGGAGGAGCGTGGTTCCTTCTCAATCTGTGAGATGGGGGCCTGTTAACAGGAACCTCTCTCACTTTGCTGAGAGTTTATCTTCCTTTTCACCCAATAAATTCCATTCTCCCTCACCCTTAAAAGCGTCTGCGTGTCTAACTTTTCCTGGTCGTGTGACAAGAACGCAGTTTTTTTTTTCTATGATATTTTTGGCATCCAGACATAGGGCGTGAGGGAGGGTGAGTATCACGCAAACCAAAAGATCATTTTTTTCTTTTGCTTCTAAGCCTTTTTGTCCTCATACCTCTTCTGAGGATAGAGAAAACTGTACCCCACCCCACCACAACAGCTGCAGGTGCACGTGGGATAGATCAGTGAATGGTGGCTCTCCTGCTCCCCTCCTGGCCAGGGCTGGAATGCATGGCCCAAGGGTGCCCAAAGGCAGGCTGGCCAGCTCCCTGCCACACAGCCACAGAGCCTTCCCCTCCCCCAGCCAAGGGGTCCCACTCCATCGGACAGCAATTAAGTTACTCTCCCTGGTGGAGGAACTCATTTGCAAAAGAATAAAACGTTCTTCCCCAGGCATCTTTTTTCTTTTCCCTACCCTGTCAGCAGTTGACTTTTAAGTGAGTTTTTTTTTCCCTTTTGGAAGACATTTTGATGTGCCAAAAATAATAGAGATCACTGTTTATATTCTCTGTAAAGTTTTAATTATGAAAAAGGATTTATGAGGTTGGTCTTGAGTTGTAGCCAATCTGGTGTGCTTTCCATGTCTTTCTGTATAGTCCGCAGCAAACTCTGTGGCAGGCCTCCATCTTGTTTCACATCTTTGGGAGTGTGGCCTGCAACCACGTGACAATGGTTTTGTTTTGGCCTCCGCCATTTTACAATGGTGGCCTGGGGTTCAATCCTGGTGTAGGGAATGAGTCCTTTCTGGTTTGGTATCTACGCAACCTTTGCTCTCTGTTCTCTTCCCCTCCACAAACAGCCTTGAATTTTCCTTTCTCTGAGCCTTTAATGAAGTTTGAAAGCCAGAAATATTGGCCCCCTGGCGTGGCTAAATTAAGGTTATAAGAGAGTTAAAAAGATTTTCTTAAAGAGCACCCAGGTTAATTATAAGTGGATATAAGTCATAAGTATATTTAAAAGGCCTTTACGTTTTTCTTTTCTTGGATCTTGTTTTGCTAGAAAGAGGTTTTTTTCTCAGTCGACTGAATTATTTTTCTCCATTTGGCCTTGCCACTCTCAGTGCCTACATGAGAGAAGAGAGACCTCTGTTTTCCTCACGGAAGCCCAGAAATTAAAAGTGGATAGATACCTCTCAAAATCTGTTTTTTGCCCCATTTATGGCTGTTTATTAGGCCTTAGAAGCTGCATGTTTTCCTAGCCCTGTTTCTTATTTTTTTTTTTTTTGAGACGGAGTCTCGCTCTGTCGCCCAAGCTGGAGTACAGTGGCGCGATCTCGGCTCACTACAAGCTCCGCCTCCCGGGTTCACGCCATTCTCCTGCCTCAGCCTCCCGAGTAGCTGGGACTACATAAGGCGCCCACCACCACGCCTGGCTAATTTTTTTTGTATTTTTAGTAGAGATGGGGTTTCACTGTGTTAGCCAGGATGATCTCGATCTCCTGATCTACCTGCCTCCCAAAGTGCTCCCAAAGTGCTGGGATTACAAGCGTGAGCCACCGCGCCCAGCCAGCCCTGTTTCTTTTTTTTTTTTTTTTTTTTTTTTTTTTTGAGACGGAGTCTCGCTCTGTCGCCCAGGCCGGACTGCGGACTGCAGTGGTGCAATCTCGGCTCACTGCAAGCTCCGCTTCCCGGGTTCACGCCATTCTCCTGCCTCAGCCTCCCCAGTAGCTGGGACTACAGGCGCCCGCCACCGCGCCCGGCTAATTTTTTGTATTTTTAGTAGAGACGGGGTTTCACCTTGTTAGCCAGGATGGTCTCGATCTCCTGACCTCATGATCCACCCGCCTCGGCCTCCCAAAGTGCTGGGATTACAGGCGTGAGCCACCGCGCCCGGCCGCCAGCCCTGTTTCTTAAAGGGCTCCACCTAGAGGCCAATAATCCAATTAGGAGATTGGCAAATGAAAGATCTTATGGTGACTGGGTTTTCTTCTGCCTGTCTCTGTAGCTATATATGTGTTGTGTGTGATGACTATAAAAAGACCTCTAATTGACCTAAAGGAAGATAAGCGCTTAGATCAAATATTTTTTAAAGGGAAGATAAAAAGCTGTGGTACCTTTCAGTTCATGTGACTTTAATCTTTGAGAAATAAAAACAGTATTAAAGATTACTGGCTAAAAGCAGATGTTGTCAAAATATAAATAGATTGGCTAAATTATGCAGGTCAGGTGCCGGGTTTGCTAAATGTTTTAAGGTTATAAGCTGCTTTTTGGATTTTGACAACTGTTTGACTTGCCTTCTCCACATTTGGTAAGGCCTGAGGACATACAGAACTAATCACACAATTAATTATGCTGGAAGGAGTAAAACCTTCGCTGCACCTGGCACACAATCAAAACAACTTGCCAAGTTTTACATTAAAGTTAAAAATTGCTAGGAGTTACCATTATAACATGTAATTGAAACTACTGGAAATAAATTTATATGCTAGGTGTGCAGGAACAGTAAAACGTGTTTTAGTGTAAGACTATAAGAAGGCATGGAAATGTAAATTCTTGCCTAGGGTTAAAGCCTTGTTTCGAATTAGACAGAATAAAGCTAAAAATTTGAATAAGTGGTGGCAAGACTGTCAAAATTAATCTTGCAAAAATTCTGTGTGTGAACATATGGACTAAATTCGAAAAGGTATTATATGGCTTTTCTGTAAATTGAACATTGAAATAAAGGCACAATAAGGTACTCTTAAGGCACGAATCTGTGCTAGCAAAATTTTTAAAGGGTTATAGAAAGTTTTTGCTTTTTATAAATTTCTGAGTCATCATTTTGGCAAAATAAATAATTTATGATAATCTGGAATTCTATTTCCTAACATCAAGTATTTTAAATCTCTAACACTTAACAGGCTTCCCAAAATCAAACCTCAGTTTCAAAATTGTCTTTCCTCACCCCTGGCTTTTGGATGCTTCAGAGGGCCCCTGGAGTATCCAAAAGAGGTAAACAGGATTATTTGACATGTTTAGGTACATGGGATTGCCAAAATGGTGTTCAATTATCTTTAGGTTAAATTTTGGTGAATGATACTAACGTAAGTTCCAAAATTGTATGGGATTTCTAAAATTCTAATGTCTAAAATATATGCTATTAACCATGATTAAGGTTATGTTAATTTATTGTAAACTGCAGAGATAACCAAACTTCCTTTTCAATTGTGTTTCCAACTGTAACTACCCTGGACATTTTGTTATTCACAGAAGATCATTGTCTTGTTTTAATCCTTTTCAAAAGATGGTTTATAGTAAGCTATAGGACTTGGACAGGTGCTCTCAAATACAGGTTTCTGATAACTTAGGAGATTGTGACAATGGAATAAAAGAAAAATGTACAGGACTCATGAAGAGCTAAAATCTTGACAAGTATCAAGCAAAACAAGGAGTTAACTAAATGACAGACTGAATTCAGAATGCTGAACCAATCTTTTTAACTTTTGCTTGGAATATTGCTAATCCTTGTTTTGTTTTTCAGAGTCAAGGAAACTTATTTTGAACTATTTATGGCCTTTAATAATTGAGTAAGTTATACTCCTGTGGACAAAATTTGGAGTATGTTTGTTTCTCTTTGCCTGGTTCCTGTAGAATTTGGAAACTATCGTGAGTATTCTCAATTTATGGCAATATAGTTGTTTGCATCAATGCAATTAAGAATCCATTTTCTTTTGCAAGAGAAACTGGTTTTTCTCTTTTTAGAGAAAAACTCAATTTAGAGAAACTGGTTGTTTTACCAAGGCTTTGACTAGAAGGGTATGCTTCCCTTTAAGGAGTCAAGCTCAACTTGCAGAGCCAATAAAAGGCCCTTGAGAAAACTGGCCTCATACCCTTGTCTACACAGTCCCTGTACAGGGTTCCTGGCCTGTGGTTAGTAAAGCATGTCACTTTCTAACAGGCCCAGGAGCTCCACGTTTATTTTGGGACCTTTAGAGGAGAGGATCATCCAACTCACAGGTATTTGAGGATACAAACCCATGGCTGGCCTTGGCTTCAAAGGTCTTGTAAACCCATGGCTGGGCTCAGCTTAAAAGGTCTTATCTGAGATTCCTTGTGGAACAGAGTTTCATCAAAGCCAGTCTAAAAGGCCTATGTAGAAATAGTTATTCTTGCTGCACTTTATGCAAATAATCAGGCCAAGTATAAGCCTAAATTTATTTTGCAAACAACACAGTCTTCTCATTTTTTTTAACAAAAATGAGGACCTGAGAGATAGAAATTATGTTTCAAAACTTACATCTGTCATTAAATTCTAAACTCATTAGTTATTTTTAAGTTTTTGCCTGCATTTTAGACTAACCCTACCTGGTTCTGTAAACCAACCAGCAATCTCTGGCTGTAGCTCAGAAAGAACAAAAGGGATGGGTAATGTAGAAATATGGATCAATATTCTAGTTCTAAACAATTGTCCTGCAAATCCTATCAGGTGATGGGAATAAATAGGATGCCCATCCCTGGAGGTTTTTTTTTTTTTTTTGGGAAAGTAAGACCAGGAGTGTTAACCAAAGCCAAGCACCACACACCCAAATCTTAGAAAGCACAACTATAGCCACCAGTTATCTGGCCATGTCACAAGACACCCTTTTTTCTCCCTTGTTAGAGGAGGACTCAATTCCACAGCTCACCTTAGCATTTGGATTACGATAAGGAGTCCACGCAAACCCCCTGAGACAAATTTTTGTCTGAAACTCAATGTCAAGCTTCAAGTCAAAGCTCTAGGAAAGAAAACTGTATCTGAGGGATCCAGAGGCAGATAATAACAGAAATTAAAACGCACAACACAGGTGAACATGGCTGATTGCTGCCAATTAAGCCAAGCTTCCCATTTCATGGATAAAGCTCACACTAGTATCACACTTATCCATAAATGAAGTCTAGGGAATTCAAGGCTATTGACTGCAGAGGATATTGGGCATATGTGGGTAAGAGCAGATCCTCCCACCTACTAGGCCCCCTGTTAATATGGTGAAAGCTGCTTTAACGCTTATGTGTGGCGCCCTGTCGCAGTCACCAGGACTCAGGGATACAAGGTCAGAACAAAGAAAGAGGAAGGCCTCACTTTCCCTCCCTCACATACCCCAAGTTTTTGCTAGAAAGAGAAAGAAACCAGGGTCACCTGCTGCACTCTTTCTAGAGGAGTAGCCATTCATCTTCAGTCTGTAACTGCTTTCAAATGCATCCTGAACCCCTGGGACTCCTTTGAAAATGAGTGTTTTTTTTTCCTTCCTCCTCTTCTGTCCCCTCTTTACTGATAAGTAATTGTGTCTCCGTACTACAGGACACTCCCCTCAGATGCATCCTCTAAACTAGAAACAGTTAACTTCCCAAACCTTAAACTGGTTGCCTTAGGATTGGGCTCAGTGGAAGAAAACCCAGAAACCTGACATGCTCCCAAACGGGCCTTTGGCTTCTCTTTCCCTGTGCAAACTGGTAAAAGGCCTTGGGATTTTTGAGTTGTCGTTACCCGCCCCCAGCCCAAACCTTATTTCGTTTTGATACATGTTTTCTAATAACCCGGTTTGTCTCTTCTTGCCTTCAGGCCATCCCACTCCAAATGGTCATGCAGTTGAAGCCTTGGATGCTGGCCCCTTCTGCCAAGGACCCTTACATAGACCTCTGAGGGAGCTCTGACTACCATTTCCTCAAAACAGTGCCCCCTGTCAGCAGGAAGCAGTTAAGATTGATCTTCATCCTTATCCTTACTCTGATGGCAGTGACATGTACTTCTTCAGAGGGAGGAATGATAGCTGCAGGAGGAAAATAACGGTGAATATCCCCAGAGAATCTCCCACCGGCCTGCGTGATGGAGGGATGGGGTGGAGTCTCGGGAAATTTGCGCTGTTTGCACTGGGGGAGGCTGGCCCCTTCTGTTCCTGGGTAGAACCTGGGATTCAAACTGTGAAATGGGGCCCCGTTAACAGGAACTTCTCTCACTTTTCTGAGAGGTTTTCTTCCTTTTCACACAATAAATTCCATTCCCTCTCCCCTTCAAAGTGTCTGTGTGCCTAACTTTTCCTGGTCGTGTGACAAGAACCTGGCTTTTTTTCCTACAACACTGGCCTCAGGTGACCCACCCGCCTCAGCCTCCGAAAGTGCTAGGTGTGAGCCACCGCTCCCAGCCTGCAGCAGTTTTTGACTTATTGCAACCACCAGACACACCATTAACTCCCAACACTCTTATTCCTTGAAAAGGTAAATAATTTTAGAGCTGGGCATGGTGGCTCACACCTGTAATCCCACACTTTGGAAGGCTGAAGAGGGTGGATCGCCTGAGATCAGGAGTTCCAGACCAGCCTGGCCAACATGGTGAAACCCCGTCTCTACTAAAAATACAAAATGTTACCTGGGTGTGGTGGCGGGCGCATGTAATCCCAGCTACTGTGTCCGGAATTGGCGGGTTCTTGGTCTCACTGACTTCAAGTATGAAGCCGCGGACACTTGTGGTGAGTGTTACAGTTCTTAAAGATGGTGTGTCCAGAGTTTGTTCCTTCTGATGTTCAGACGTGTCTGGAGTTTCTTCCTACTGCTGGGTTTGTGGTCTCGCTGACTTCAGGAGTGAAGCTGCAGACCTTCGCGGTGAGGGTTACAGTTCATAAAGCTGGCACTCCAGAGTTGTTCGTCCCTCCCGGTGGTCTCCCTTCGTGGTCTCGCTGTCTTCAGGAGTGAAGTGCAGACCTTCGCAGTGAGTGTTACAGCTCATAAAGATTAGCGCAGCCCCAAAAAGTGAGCAACAGCAAGAGTCACTGAGAAGAGCGAAAGAACAAACCTCCCACAGACTGGAACTGGACCCCAGCAGGTTGCTGGTGCTGACGCGGGTGGCCTGCTTTTATTTGGCCCCACCCACATCCTGCTGATTGGTCCATTTTACAGAGAGCTGATTGGTCCATTTTACAGAGTGCTGATTGGTCCGTTTTACAGAGTGCTGATTGGTCCGTTTTGACAGAGTGTTGATTGGTGCATTTACAAACCTTTAGCTAGACACAGAGTGCTGATTGGTGCATTTACAATCCTTTAGCTATACACAAAAGTTCTCCAAGTACCCTACCCGATTAGCTAGACACAGAGTGCTGATTGGTGCATTTACAAACCTATAGCTAGACACAGAGCCCTGATTGGTGCATTTACAATCCTTTAGCTAGACGGAAAAGTTCTCCAAGTCCCCACCTGACCCAGAAGCCCAGCGGGCTTCACCTCTCACTGCTGGAGAGGCTGAGGCAGGAGAATCACTTGAACCCAGGAGGCAGAGGTTGCAGTGAGCTGCGATCGCACCATTGCACTCTAGCCTGGGCTATAAGAGCAAAACTCCGTCTCAAAAAAAAAAAAAAGAAGAAAGAAAAAGTAGATCATGTTTTAAATATTTGCCTCGTGTAATGCAGAATTACTATTTACCTTTTGAGATTTTATTTTATTTATAGACCTTTTCTTAAGCTCAAAGAAGATGGTGTGACCCTATAACCATAGGCCAGAGGAATGAGAATGCCAACAGTGAAAGGAGGCTAAGGTGGTAAATCAGACAGGAGCTCGACGCAGAATGCAGCAGGCTGAAGTGCCGCTGACATGGCTTTCTTATTTGCCATGCAAGCTTAAAAAAGGAGAAATAAGGGGCATGCTCTTCACGGGGCCAGCTCTTATCTGGTGGGATGAAGAGTTACACAGCTCCGTGTTATCCTAACTGGGCAGCCTTCCCTGGCACCTCTCAGGCTAGCTGAATGCCTTTTCTCCTTCTTTGTCATCCTAGTATGACACTGTATTATGATGGCCTGTTTGTGTGTCCAGCCCTCTAATAGGTGAGCTCTTTTAAGTCAGTGATTTTTATTAATAACTTTAATAATCCTGATGCCTCGCACACTGCACAAAATTTAATAATGTAACTGTGGGACCAGAACAAACTGGGCCTACTCTCATGACAACAACATGTCAAGTTACCTTGTAGGTATAACAGAGCGAAATAACTGCATGTCATGTAGCCCAAGGATGCTCAAGGGAAAAAGCTTTGACCTCTGATAATGTCCGTAACCAGCCAATTTTCTCAGAACCAAGACTAGGATATGACCAGAACCTGAATACTGGAACTCTTTCAGAAGCAAGAGGTTCATTGGCCTGGAAGATCTTGTGCTAAGATCTGTCTCAGCATACTTCCAATCAGACCCTGTCAAGTCAGCATTCCTAAATTCTATCCCTAGCCTCTGATCCCTTAAAACTTTCCCCAGATCCCAAGTCAGGGAGCCAGATTTGAACCTACTTCCTGTCTTCCTGCTTGATGATTTTGCAATAAAGCCTTCCTTTTCTCAAAAGCCGGTGCCATGGTTCTTGGTTTCTGTCTACATCAGGCAGAGAGCCCATTTGCTCAAAAACAGTAAAAGCTCATTAACTGAGAACTGAGTAGAAGGAAAATAGGGAGGAAGAAGAAAGAGAAAAGAAGGGAGGAAAAAAGGAAGGAAGGAAAGAAAGAAGGGAGGAGGAAAAGGGAGAACAAAAGAAGAGAAAATAAGTAAACGGGAAAGAGTGGGAACTTCAGGGCATTGTGCCAAACCTCTGATCCCAAGGCATCATCCTGGCCTGACGTGAACTTGAAATTCTCTGGACACGGGAAGCCAGGACCTCTGTGCACTAACCTTGCTAAAATTCTCTCCTGCCTCTGCACTTTGCCAAAGTTGAATTGAATAGCATCCATTCTTTTCAGTTTCCACCCTAGAGCAACATTTTCAGTAGTAGAGTTATTCTGGGTTCTACAGGCAACAGAAATCAATGTCTGCCTCGTCTCTTTGACCTTGCATGTGAAGGGGAGCTTTTTTAGGTGATGCAAGTACAAAGGGAGAGTGAAGCCATAGGCAATTTGGACTGCTAAATATAGAGTGGCGCTTTTAAAAATGCTGTCTTGGCCGCTCTGAGTGTCTGGAAAGACCTGCCGGTCACTGGCAAGGACAAAGGATCAGCTTTGACTGGACTATCTGAGGATTCAAGGACCTATATGGAATTGAGAAAGATTATTTGTAGCATATCTTTGGAAATTGCCATGGCCAATTATATGCATCTTGCCTCCTGGCATAATTTCCCTGCAGGTGACCAATATAACTGTTTTTATCCCTGTTTCACAGCAGCCCTGAAAGCAGCCTGGAGTGACTAATCTGGTTTTATAAAAAAGTGTTGGGGCTCAGGAAATGACTTCCCAAAATATGGAACTAAACAAAAAGTCTCAAGATCCCTCTGACCTTTCCCCGACCCCCATCTCTCACACCTTTGTCTCTCCCAAAGCAGATGACGAGGCTATTCTCTGAAGTTCCCTTATCTGCCCAGAAACCGGACTTCCAAAGAGAAATCCAATTGCCTGCAATCCCTTCCTGGAAATTTCATTAAGCAGGGAAGATTAAAACTCATCACAGAGAAAAAGACTAAAAATTAAACACCAAACCTAGAGCTCAGACAAACTTTGAACTGTGTTTGTTCTCCAGTCCCATTCAATTCCCTAAGAGAATTATTTAGTTATCCCTATCTGAATATTGGGTGCATTCATTCTCCCTAAAATTTATTTACTCCTGCATTCCCCTCACCCCTTCTCCTATGAAGAAAGGTTTATAAGCACCTGGACCCCATTGGATTATTGAATAATCATTCTCCTGCAATTCTCCCATGCTATACATGTTAAAATAGATGTGTATGCCTTTTTCTCCTATTAATCTGCCTTTTTTTAGTTCATTTTCAATGAACCTTCAGAGGATGAAGGGGAAAGCTGTCCTTGCTCACCCCTGCACAAGGTAAACAACAACTGTGAGCTAGTGTCATTGCCCTGGGCATAGCTGCCATATAAGGGCATCCTGGGGAAGAGCACGTTGCTATGAGAAGAGAAAGTGTTACGAAATGATAGAGCATGACAAAAAAAGAGCAGATTGTTCATAATGGTAATAAATTGCCTAGAAGCCAGTAAAGTGAACTCTTCAGCTAAAGTCACTCTAGGCCACACAGTGTCACTCAGTCAGGTCCCTTTTAGGTAATGGCAGAAACTGGAAATTGACAAGGAGTTATTTCTCTGTGATACAGCTTTTACCTCCTAGCCTGTCATGTGACTCCTACTCCAAAGTCAGGAAAACTGGTTGCTGAATCAAAGCCAATGAGCTGAGCTTCCTCGGAGGTCTCCACAGGTGAGTTGGGCATATGAATAAAGAGAAGAGCCTGATTTGGAATTGCATCATATCCAAACGCCTTTAACAAGATAGACAAAGCTTGCTTTTCATCAAAATAAAAATCTGCCACATGCTTCTATCCTTGTGTCATGGTACTAAATTGTGTACAAAGAAATATGCACAGGCATTTTCTTGCTTTCTTTCTTTTTTTTTTTCTTCTGTTTTTGAGACAGGGTCTTACTCTGTCGCCCACGTTGGAGTGCAGTGTCATGATCTTGGCTCACTGCGACCTCCGCCTCCCAGGTTCAGGTGATTCTCCTGCCTCAGCCTCCCAAGTAGCTGGGATTACAGGCGTCCGCCACCACGCCCAGCTAATTTTTGTATTTTTAGTAGAGATGGGGTTTCACCACATTGGCCAGGCTGGTCTCGAACTCCTGACCTCAGGTGATCCGCCCACCTCGGCCTCCCAAAGTGCTGGGATTACAGGCATGAGCCACTGTGCCTGGCCCATATTTTTGCTTTCTAAGATAACTGAGTCAGATACGAAATATGAGAGGCAAGATTTTATTATGGCACGAGTTCTGGTGCCTGAATAGGTTCAAATTCATTTCCATTTCTCATTTTCAAGGTGGCATTGGGCAAGTTGCTTAAGTTCTATGACTCATCTGAAAAAGGGAGGCAAAAAGAATGCTCATTCATAGATAGGGTTGCACTGAAGATTAAGTCAGTTAATAATGTGCAAAGTGTTCAGAAATGTATCTGGCATGTGGTAAATCATGGATAAACAGCTGATATTCTAAATGCACAGAGCATAGGGCAATTTGAAGACCTTAATTGTGCAGAGTTGTACAGACAGGGACAGGCACAGAAAGAATTCACCCATGATCTGCATTCACTCATGAATTCCAGCACTCACTCGTGACCGGAAGCCAGGGCCAGCTGTCCAGGAGAGCCTGTCATCCCTCAGGCAAGCACAACCAGATTCTGTGGGGTGCAGGTGTACCGCATGTACTTGGCAAAATGTTGCTCTTATTTGTATGAATGGAACAGGCTGTCTCATATACTGAACCATAACTTGCTATTGCCTGGTTCCTCTCTCCTAGAGAACTTCAAGGAGATTGTGGTGGGCAAATCAGATGATGCCAAAACTCAGATATTTAGGGCCTAATGAATGCCCAGAAGGAATAGGAGTTGGCACTTGCCAGGTTTCTGTCTTTGAACCAAGTGCCAAATGTTTGAACAGTTTTCATAAGTATGTCCCAAGTCCTTCCCTTGATGTGTTAGACACTTTAGTGACAGCAGTGTGGCTGTGCAGATGAGTCCTTGGATTGAGCACAGTGTGGCTGACATGTGACTGTAGGCACTTCGGGGCAGACAGAATTAAAGGTATCCAAGTCTTATGCAGAGGGAGCTGTAGGTTTTGTCCTTAGCTCTGGGCCTTCCAGAACAAAGATCAGATCAAATAAGGTAGTTAATGATCCTTCCTGGCAGGAGGTTCCTTTAACTCATTGAAACAGTGTCTGGAAAGGTAGGATAAGGAACCTAGATACAGTATCCTGAATAGGATTACAATTGCATGAACCCATAGGACATCCATTCATTCGGCCAACAAATACTTATTCAGTGCTGACTATTCAAAAGGCACTGAGGTAGATACTCAGGTGGTTCAAATTTTCTTTGGCAAGATATTGAGCCTCTAAAAACAGTCACCAATAAAGGCACAGCCAGCAGCCAAGCAGTCCTGGAGTAGTGACTCCTATCCCCTAATGGAAGGGACCACCCACATTCTATGGTGATTGGTATCTCTGGAGCTGCTTGAAAGTGGTTCTTAGGGACACAAAATCTCCATTTAATAGTCTTATTTACTTGAAATAAATATATACACTGAAGCACAGCAGGCATCCCAGCTAGTATTGAGAGATCCACAGAAAGAACTCCAAAGTTTAAGCTGTTAATACTGTTGATCAGGTGATTTCTCTTGCCATACCTCTAAAGTTAGCTGAGATTCTCTTTGGAAGAGGATCACAAATAAGAGGGAGGGATTGTTAACGTTGTTTAGGAGCTGAATTATCATCAATTATCATCAAGAAGCTTGACTCTTCAGAGGGCTCAAGGATTAAGGCAAATTAAAATGCTTTCTTCTTCATCCTACCAAGAAGTTGAGTGTTCTTTCTTTATTCCTTTAATTGGTAAAAGAGTTTTATTTTGGCTTTATTTTATTTTATTTAACCTCTAAAAACCTGGAAATGTCATTTTAAAGCCTTGACATCAAAAGGTGACAGAGTCTCAGTGATGGGATGTGAGAAATATACTCTGCTGAGATCTACACAGAACTTTCCTCAAATCTTTACGCATGTAAATCCTTCAGTGCTCCATACTTCATATTTTTTTAAAAAGTACTAGAGGTAGAAATCTGTAAATTTAGTTCCTTGGAAATTGGAAAGAATTGTCTCTAAAAACTGATAATCAAGTTCTTAGTCCTCAAAAGTATATTTAAAGAAAACAGAATCATTCTAAAAAACCTAATCCCTATTTTTGAGATAATAATAGGGGAAGAGGCTGGGCGCAGTGGCTCACACCTGTAATCCCAACACTTTCGGAGGCCGAGGCAGGTGGATCACCTGAGGTTGGGAGTTCGAGACCAGCCTGACCAACACGGGGAAACCCCTCTACCAAAAATACAAAATTAGCCTGGCGTGGTGGCACATGCCTGTAATCACAGCTACTCAGGAGGCCGAGTCAGGAGAATAGCTTGATAGAGAGCCTCTAAAAGGACTCCCAGTTATCCCTGGCTCTGGACATTTATGCCTTTAAGCAAGACCCTCTCCTTGAGTGTGGGCAGGAGCCTAGGGACTCACTTGTAATAAACAGAATATGACAAAAGTGCTGACTATTCAAAAGGCATAGCGGATGTCCTTTCTCACATTAGGTTACAAAAAGACTGTGTAACCTAATGTGTAAACTGCCACCTCCCCACTTGCCTCAGATATCCCTCTGATCCTCACTCTATGGAAACCAAGCTGCTATGTTGTGAGTAGTTCCATTGAGAGACCTGCATATCAAGGAATTGATGTCACCAGCCAACAGCTGGCGAGGAACTGAAGCCCACCTGCTGGCTATTTGGCTGGTGACATCAATTCCTTGATATGCAGGTCTCTCAGTAGAACTACTCACAATATAATGTGTGAGTTAGAAGCACATCTTTCCCCAGGCAAGCTTTCAGATGAGACCACAGCTTCAGCCAACAGCCTTGTGAGAAACCTGGAGCAGAGGACCCAGCTAAGCTGCACTCAAATATCCAACCCACAAAAACTGTGAGATAATAAATGTTTTTGTTGTTTTAAGCCACTAAGTTTTCAGATAATTTGTGACACAACGATAGATAATGAATGCAACTATCAAGCCCTTAGAAGTGTTTTTAGCAGCATACTGGTGGTTTCTTGATACAGTATTTTGGTTAAGAATATAGTTTCTGAAGCCTATTTGTCTGGAATTAATTTTCACCCCTAAATCTTGTCATTTGTACAACCCTGGAAAACTTACTTAGCTTTTCAGTGTCTTAATTTTTAAAACTTTAAAATGAAGATAATAACTGATAGGGTTATTGTGAGAATGAAATGAGTCACTACATGTGAAATATTCTAAGAACTCAAACTCAGTAACTATGAGCTACAATTATTTTGATCCTCACAATAATTTTGTAAGGTAGTTAATGTTATTCTTCTTTAGTAGACAAGAAAATTGAGACCTAACCAGAAACTTGTATGCAAAATAGAACCTTCTCACTTACCTGAATATGCAAAAATCAACTTGAAATTGATCACAGACCAAAATGTAAGAGCTAAGACAGTAAAACTTACAGAAAAAACTTAGGAGAAAATCTTTGTGACCTTGTATTAGGCAAAGATATCTAGGTGTTTTTCTGCCTACTGGCTATTCTGAATAATGCTGCTATGAGGATGGATGTACAAGTATCTCTTTGAGATGCTGCTTTTAGTTCTCTGGGGTAACATATCCAGACCTGAGATTGCTGGACCATGAGGTAGTTCTATGTTTAGTTTTTTGAGGAACCTCCATACTGTTTTCCACTGTTTTACATTCCCCAAGAGCACAAGGGTTCCGATTCCCCAAAAGTGCACAAGCTTTCTGATTTCTCTCCATCCTTGCCAACAAGGCAACATAGCAAGACCTTGTCTTTACAAAAACTTTGTTTTTTAGTTAGCTTGGTGAAACAGTGTGCACCTGTAGTCCCAGCTGCTCAGGAGGCTTGAACCCAGGAGATCAAGGCTGTAGTGAGCTATGATCATGCCACTGTACTTCAACCCAGGCAATAAACTCTGTCTCCAAAAAAAAAAAAAAAAAGGGTACAGCAAAAATATGGTATTATAATCTTATGAGACCACCATTATATATGCTATCTGTCATTAGCCAAAAATCATTATGTCATTCATGACTGTAGTTGATAAAAAATATTTGTCCTATAAATGAGTGAAAGCAATGATCACCTATTAATATTCATTATTGTCAGCACATTTCTAACAATTTACTAGTGAGGGGGGCTTCTGGCTGATGAGATGGGGGGATATGGGGTTTGGGACAGAAGATCCAGACAGTCTGGGACTCACATAGACCCAGAGCCTAGGGGTTATTGCTAAGTCCTTGCAGAGAGGAACCCATTATTTTACTTGTAGTGGATGTTGCTATTCCTTTGGGGGCCTTCTCTTGGGCTACATTTTGGTTAAGCTTTGGTTCATTTTCAGTGTGACTTTGTTGCTGCTCAGTTTGTGTGTGTCCTATTAAAATATAATAAAATAAGTGGCTCTGGAACATTGGAGTAGTGAGACTAGCTTTTCAGCTGCAAGTGGAAAGATGGAGCCCTTGGTAGAGAAACGTTCTTTGATAGACACCCAGAGTAATTGCCAGCAGCAGAAGGTGGAGAAAAGCAAATACGTGTGATAAGCATACCCCACCTTTATTCTCCCCAGGTGATTTTGAAGAGTTTTTTTTTTGTACAAGCACAGGATGTAAGGAATAAAGTGCATTTGTATTAAAAATAGGTGCAGAATCAAACTTTCTAGCAACTAACAATGGTGAAAGTGATAGTTATCGGCCATCTGCTGAATGTGAGCACACGTGGATAATGGAGAGCTGAAGTGATTAATTGGGGTGGGCAGAGGTATTCTTAGAATCTGAAGAGTACTTAAAGGAACTGTGTACAGTTATTAAATGAAGTATTATTAAAGGGTATCCATTTAGTTGTTAAACTATTAAAATGTATCCATATAGCGTTGGTGAACGATATCAGACATTCAATACATAAATAAAATTATAATACTTGTGCAAATTCACAGAGCTTTCTCTCTCACCTCCAGTATCATTTCCCTACCTAATTATGTTGTGGCCATTCCCCAGTAGTGCTCCTGTTACATTGTCAGTATGGTAACTTACTTTTAAAGTTCTTTAGAATAAACATGTGATGTGTGTGCTAATTAGTTTTAATCTGAACATGAAAGGTGCTTAGTTAGCATGCAAAGTTTCTTAACCATCCATTGACATGTACTTGTTCATTCATTCAACTGTCAAATATGTACAAACTGCTTAAAGTTGTTGAGGCACTATTCTAGGAGACAAAACAGGTTAAAGCACCTGCCTCAGTAAAGCTCATGGTCTGGTCACAACTGATCATGACTTGAGGTGCTTACTTAGGACCTCCCAATATGGCTATCATATCCAGGGATTTGATAATTTGAAGGGATTTTAGAAATAATTTTTATATTGATAAATAGGTGGTGCTGAAAATATTTGGTGGACCAAAAAGATTCTCCAGCCCCTGCTTATATATGAAGACCAAGGTCTAAACAAGGGACAGACCCAGCAGCCTTATATGTTCAAGGCAGGCTTGAAGTGTAAGTTCCTGGTGCTCCCATTGGTCAGAGCCCTCCACTTCTTGGAGGACTCTGTCACCTGATCTGATTCTATGGCTGGCTGACCTTGCCCTCAGAGTATTATTGCCTCGACTTTGGAGCAAACAATTTATGCCAGGTGCCTGTTGGAGTGCCTGAAAACAGAGTGGAGCTTTGCTGAGCTTCCAAGAAAGGTTGTCTGAGGTTTCTGCAACTGCTTGCTGAAAGTGTTTGTACACTTGGCATAATTTGATCAAATATTTGCTTGCATTGTAATCTACTGTCTGAAAACAACATTATCAGGGAAGGGATATTTAAACCCTACCTTCCTCTCATTGCTAGAGGATACCCGCATTTACCAGAAACACATGCCAACTCAATTAGCCAAATGAACTGGATCAGTTCCCGAAAGCCCTGTGCTTTCTTCCTCACCAGACCTTTAGTCTTCAAAATGGTCGTGCCTGTGATCTCAGTTCCTTTTTTCTGCTGGACTCTAAGGGGTTAGTTAGATCTGCCAATTATTATTAACTATGCAGAACACTCACACTTTAATAGTTTAGGTCAGTTAGAGCTGAGCTCAATAGGGTAGATTTCAGGCACTGACAGTTGCTTAATCAGAGCTTGAAGTGATTAGGCAGCTGGGTCTTTTGATTTCTCCCAAAATATTCAACTCAGGAAGCTGTTCACTCTCCCAGGGTCATCCCAAAACATCGTCCAATGCCATGGCACTAACTTCATGGAAAATGACTCTTAATTCAGCCATTTTCCACAGAACTGCTTAATTTCCCATTAGTAGCATTTATAGAGTATTTTTTTTCTTGGGCATAGAATACCTTATTAAATGTTGCAATAAATCATCATTAATGATGACAACAAATAATTACTGAAAGTCACCTGTAGTCTCTTGAGAGTAGGGGTGAGAGTGGGCAACAGTGAGGTGCCTAAAGTACTTAGAAATAAACCCTCTGTATCACAGCAGGGATACATAAGCTCCTGTTAAGGAGACAGAGCTCTGAGATCTATGGCTGATGAACCTATTGAAAGTGAAATGCACATCCTGACATAATCACTGAGAAGTGGGAATGTGGTCCTGGAAATAGAAAACTTAATGACCCAGTGCTAAACAGACTCATGATACACATTAATAAATCTTGTGAATCTACAATATTTACAGCATTTTATTATATGGTATATACAATATAAATGCCATTAAAGGTTTATTGGCTGATTTCTATATCTTCTCTGCATTCTTTAGAATTGTTTTAGTGATTCTCTTAATCTGGGCAGGGTGCTATAACAAAGCACCATAGACTGGGTGGCTCACAAATAAGGGAAATTTATATCTCACAGTTCTGGAGGTGGGGAAGTCCAAGATCTAGGTACCAGCAGATTCAGTGTCTGGTGATGGCCTTTTCCTGGTTCATAGATGACTATCTTCTCACTGTGTCATCACATGGTGGAAGGGATGAGGGAGTCTCCAGGGTCCCTTTCATTAGGACACTAATCCCAGGGACTGAATCAACTACAAGAGGTTCCACCTCCTAATGCCATCACCTAGAGGGTTATAATTTCAACATATTAATTTTGAAGGACACAAGCATTCAGTCCATAGCTGTGATGGATCTACTTAATTCTAGAACATGACCCATATCCCCCTAACTACTTAATGTGAGCACAGTGTGTCGGGGGGGTCCTTGCCAAGGAGGAAGAGATGGGCATGGAACTAGTGCTTGCTTTAGAGTGATGCCGATGACCTCTATCCTTTATCAATGCTGCATGCAGCCTACTAAACATGGCAGGCCTGTGTTAACAAACACCAAAAAAAAAAAAAAAAGACTGGGTCAGAAGGAGTTGGGTAGCAAGGATGCGGAGAAAAAGGAGAGTCTCAAAGTTGGCAGTATCCATCTGTATTAGTCCGTTTTCATGTTGCTGATAAAAGACATACCCAAGACTGGGTAATTGATAAAGAAAAAGAGGCATGGCAGCAGGGAAGACAGAATGAGAGCCAAGTGAAAGGGGAAGCCCCTTATAAAAACATCAGATCTCGTGAGACTTATTCACTACCACGAGAACAGTATGGAGGGAACTGCCCCCATGATTCAGTTGTCTCCCACCGGGTCCCTCCCGCAACATGTGGGAATTATGGGAGCTACAATTCATAATGAGATTTGGGTGGGGACACAGCCAAACCATATCACCATCCAACTAATGTCTGCTTATTAGTCAGAGAAACAGAAACCAATAGGATATGTCTAGATACATAAGAGGAGATTATAAGAATTGGCTCACATGATTGTGGAGACTGAAAAGTCCCACAACATGCTGTCTGTAAGCTGGAGAACAAGGAAAGCCAGGAAGTCATTCGGTTTGAGTGCAGGAGAAGATGGATAGCCCAGATAAGAAAAGAGAGAATTTACCCTTTCTCCACCTTTTTGTTTATCTGGGCACTCAGTGGATTGTGCTCACTGACTCTGGGCAGTGAGGAGGATCTTCTTTATTCAGTCTATTGATTCAA
This sequence comes from Homo sapiens, assembly GCF_000001405.40. NCBI lineage: Eukaryota > Metazoa > Chordata > Mammalia > Primates > Hominidae > Homo > Homo sapiens. The sequence continues at coordinate 233,712,727 of NC_000001.11, read as the reverse complement.
ATGCTTATTTTGAAACGCCTTCCAGAAATACCCTTGCAGACACACCCAGAAATAATGTTTCACTAGCTATCTGGGCATCCTTTAATTCCATCAAGTTGACACATAAAATTAACGATCACAGTCAGAAAGAAGATTCACTCTACCTTTATATATCCCTGCTGTGGAGGTGAACATAACAAGCTTTCAGAGCCTGATGACATTGAATATTCATATTACATAAATAACATCCCTTGTTTTCCTTCTTTTCTCCCTAAGCCATCCACTGATTATTCAAGTTCTATTGACATTAAGGCAAATTTTAATATTCTTTAAAATACTATTGTGTTCTGTTGGAAATGAAACACTCTACAGCCTTACATGAAAGTGGAGTCACAAAATTGAATGAGCCTAGATCTTGAATCACTATGTGAAAAGCCACCCACTCAACACACATTGGACTGCTACATCTTAAACTTCTACTGTATAAACCTCTGGATTTTTAGATTTATTGGCACAGAAGCTTTCATTACCTTAACTAATACAGGGCCCTAGCAAATCCCTCATCTTCTTAAACTTAATGACTTTTTACTTCTCTTTTCTGCTTCTGATAATTGTGGTGGGAAGATTTATAATCCCAGAAGAATAGAAAAGAATTATATTATTTCAAATGACACTGTTACAATGCAAATACTATGAATGTGGATCTACTGAGTGTACCACAGCACCTCTCTCCAGCATACTGTATGCTCAGCCAGCATCTGGAAACTAATGCTCTCTCAAAATTGGCCTATTACGTTTGAAAGTGCATTGACATATACAAGCCAAAAAATGTTTATGATGGAAAATTTCATCCTATATAATTTCCTTCACAAATCAAGGGTAATTTCTAAGATCACATAGGTATAGGATTTATAGATTTTATTTTGCTGGTAGCATAGGAATTACTAAGTAAATGATAGACTTTCTGTTTAATACAGTCCATTCCATGAAAATAACAGAGCGTAGCCTCTGCAGAGGAATTTAGATATAATAGGAGATAATGAACTATTATGTAATCTGTGCAATGAATTAAAATGAGTGCAATCAAGTATAATTTTGATGCCTTGAGAAAAAAGGTATTTGGTAACCAAAACGGTTAATAATGCTTCTTAAGGAAAAGCTCCTTAAAAATAAGCTTCCAAGTGCTTCAACAAAGCAAAATGACAACATATTGTGAATAATAGATTATTGCTGGGACAAATATGAAAATGAAGAACATCAGGATAGCATGATTGGCAACCAGCTTGTTTTTCTCTGTCTTCCTTGAGCATTTACAAGAGCAGAGATCTGGTGTGTTGGAACATCAGCTGGAAGGTGTAGAGGACTGTGTCCAAGGACAAGGGCTCTGGAGGCAGACAACCTTGGTTTCCATCACTCCCTGGTTACATATCATTGAGAAATTGACTTTTCTCTGTGCTAAACTTCATTTTTTCTCTCTATAAAATGAGAACATAAGGGTGTCTATTTTTTAGATCTGTTGTGAAATGTAAGACAAAATTACAAAAGAAATTCCACAGCAAATTACCTACCCAAAACTAAGCACTCACTAACCTTAGCTAGATGTACATTCAGAAAAAGACTAATACAAATACAAATAATAGAGAGTTGTCATGTCCTGAGATCCATCACAATGAGCCAACACTAGGTTAATCTGAGTACTGAAGATGATGGAGACTTTTTAATATTTCAAAGCACTTTTCACACTCTTTCATTTTGTTCCTCAGTTTTCACTGTACAACCCCCCCCCCTTTCTTATGAATGACAAAACTAAGGCATAGGCAAATTAAGTAAATTATATAGATTACATGCCTTGTTAATAGCAAAAGACTAGAATCTAGGTCTACTAGTTCCCATTATACTTTTTAACACTAACAGGAAGCATAATTTTGTGTAGTTAGCCTCACAGAGATTGTGTTATTGCAGAACTGTAATAAAGCACCCATATTAAATACCCCAGAAAGAAGAGAGTTTACATACACAGGATTTTGGGGTCTGTGCTGGAGATGGAATGTAGGTAAATGGCCCCAGTGTCCAGAGTTTTTACTGGGGTTTCATTACTGAGGCAGGAATGATTAAATCAATCAAGCTGGTCCAAAGTGTCAATCTTCTAATAACGTGGCTGATCTTTCTGGGGACCAGCCCCCATCCTGAAGCAATGTAGGGGGCCCATCAGGAGTTTCTTCCATAGCATAGTAAGAGCACTCCTGTCAGTCAGGAAAGCTCTAGGGTTTTTGAAGCTCAAGTTGATAACCAGCCACAAAGACCAGATATATTTTTTGTTATACCACACGGTATTTCTTTGAAAAACCCAAGCCACCACCTCAAGTACTTGGGAGGGAATTTATTACTGATTAAACCAAAGAAATACCCAATCCCCTGATATGGCTTTTAACAACTTCTTTTGACATTTGTCACTCATACAGTTTGTACTGATTTCAGAGGTGGAATGGTATTTTAGAGGCCCATCTGAGCCCCTGAGATAAGCTCTCATCAACAACTCTCTCTCTCGAGGGCTGGACAATGGGTCTTCTTAGAGACAGCTTTCCATTGGGCAGCCTTATCAAGTAGTCCCAAAGTGTAATACACCATCATGGATACATTTTACTCTATAATTCTTGCCTATGTTTACCAGGTTTTCAATGATGAACACAAGTGACTTGTTAACAGGAAATATTTTTTTAAAAAAAAGGAGTAGCAGCCTAATTATGGTATATCCATACAATGACACTATGCAGCAATTATGAAGAATGGAAAGAAGTCCAAAATATAGATTTAGATAAAAACATCAATGCTATATAGAATCATTATTAAATTTAAAATATGTATCTACCCTTACATATACATACACATATATATCTAACCATAATATAGCTTTAGATAAAAACATCAGTGCTATATAATCATTAACTTTAAAATATATATCTACCCTTATATGTACACACATACATAAATGTACCCTTACATATACATATAAACACACAAATATGTATCTCTATCCTTACATTATACATATATGTACATATACATACATACATATTTAACATATACATATTAAAAGTATGTATATGTATACATATATTCTTATATATACATATACACATATGTATGTATATGTAATAGGTATATATACACACATATATGTATAATATGTTAGGATATATATATATTTTAAAGTTAATAATGGTTATCTCTGGTAAGTGATATTGGGAGAGTCAGGAAACATGGAGGAAAATTGGCTTCTTCCCACTGGATACTCTTCTATAGGTTTAGTTTTTAATATATAGGTAAATGCAAATATGCCTTATTGTCATATTTTCTTCTTTATCTTTTTTTTGAGATAGGGTCTTATTCTGTCACCCACACTAGTGTGCAGTGGCTCGATCATGGCTCACTGCGTCCTTGAACTCCTGGCCTCAAGCAATCCTCCCACCTCAGCCTCCCAAAGAACTGGGATTACAGATGTAAGCCACTGTGAACAGCCTGTGCCAAGTTTTCTCTTTGTCAATGGCAGGGGGTAGCCACAATTAAGAAGTGGAAAAAAGGTATCTTCCCTACTTAGAGGAACTTACAAGCACTTAGTAAAGTCATATTTTGTAATAAAAAGCAAGATAGAAAAAAGAAGCAAGGAAGAGAGGACAGGAAAAGGAGAGGAATGGAGGGAAGGAGAAAGAGAAGGGGCAGGCATGAGTTCCATGACTGTGTACCGCATGTTGTGTAGAATGTGACAAATAACAACTATAACTAGTTCCTTTATAGAAACATAGCAAACTCAGTCATCATCCCTGACGTTATCATTATGTAGGTATCTAAGGTAGGTTTTCGCAAAAACTGTTCTTTTCTCTCTCTCTCTCTTTTTTAAATACAGGATCTTCCTTTGTTGCCCAGGCTGGAATGCAGTGGCATGAACTCAGTTAGTGGAAGCTTCTACCTCCCAGGCTTAAGTGATCCTCCTTCCACAGCCTCCCAAATAGCTGAGACTACAGGCGTATGCCACCATGCCTGATTAATATTGTTTATTTCTTGTAGAGACAGAGTCTCCCCATGTTGTCCAGGCTGATCTGAAACTGCTGGGCTCAACTGATCCTCCTGACTCAGCCTCCCAAAATGCTGGGATTACAGGCATGAGCCAACATGCCCGGCCAGCCACTGTTTTTGTAGTCAGGAGATTGCCACCATAAATTGTGTAGCCAAGGTGACAAAGAAGTTATTAATAATTTTATGACACATTTCCCTTTCCTTCTATGCCCCTTCTAAGATGTTTAAATTTATTAGCATAGTAATATGGATTTAATGACAACACAATGGAGAAATCTGGAATTGCAGAATGAATGGTGATGTTTCACTGCTTTCTGTACAGATAATTTTATCTTCATTAAAAGCTAGTGATTTAGGGGTACTCTTAAGATTATAAGCCTCCTTTTATAGAGCTTTGGAACAAACAAATGTTCTTAATAAAGAGCAGGAAGTGAGGAGGGGCTGGACTCAGAGGGGTGAGCTGTTAGGAGGCATTGTCTAGTCTCGGGACAGCAGGCAGAGTAATTGCTAACTGAAGGAAACTTCCAAGGATAACTCTGGGAGTCCTCATCTGGGCTGAAGACAGGACTACTACCAGAGGGGCAGTGGGATCAATGGGACTCCAAGCGAGTGCATGTCACAGAAGCCCTGGCCCTGGTCTCCCAAGGCAGGGATGCCTGAGTTCTACTTGTCATGTGTCTCTCTGGCTGACCACAGCTGGCTGTCAGGCCCAGCAAACATCTCTGCAGCTCTTTCCGGGGCAAAACGTCTCCCCTTCCAGACATCCAACTTCTTAATTCTCCTGACCTTAGAGCCCATCTTAAAACAAAATGAAAAACAAACCAGGGGATCAAGTTGCTGGATGACTCATTGCAGAGTTTCTCCTTCTTTCCCAATTACACAGGGTGTCTAAGATTAGATTAGCCAAGGCCAACAGTGCAGACTATTGTGCACCTGGCTAGCAGAGTCTTCCTTAGGCATTAAAGTAAAAACACTTGATCACATAACACCACCTGCCAACATTCAGCCTCCTCTGCCCATCAGCCTTGCTGACACAGGGAGTGGAGATTTGTGTAGAGAAATGACTCATTCAAATATGACTTAATCTAAACCGTAAGTGTATGATTTATTAATGTGCCACCAGGCCTTACACCAAGAGAGCCATTCCAGAGAAAAGTCCTTTTTCTCCTGAGAACAGTGCCAGCAGCTGGCTTCGTGACATTCTGGAAGCCCCGTGCAATGCTGTCAGGAGCATAGGGATTTTACTTTATCTCCCTTGCTTATGCTCCACATAACTGAAATATCTCACTGGAAGCTGCAGCAGTGCTGGCCCCTTGCACAGCCATATGTGACCACTGCAGAACAATCAGTTGGAGAGACAGTTTGGACTACATGGAGGGTGGAGATAAGGACAAAGTGAAGAATACACAGGAACCAGTGCCTCCTCCTGGAACTATGCAACTCCAAGCTGCTTCCATCAGCTGCTAGGTCCAGTAGGGAGGGACCTACTGAGAGGTGATTGGATTATGGGGGCGGTTTCCCCCATGCTGTTCTCATGATCGTGAGTGAGTTCTCATTTGATCTGATGGTTTCACGAAAGGCTCTTTCTCCTTTGCTTTCTCTTCTCTCTCCTGCTGCTATGTGAAGAAGGTGCCTGCTTCCCTTTCCGCTGTGATTGTAAGTTTCCTGAGGCCTCCTCAGCCATGTGGAACTGTGAGTCAATGAAACCTGTTTCCTTTATAAATTACTCAGTCTCTGGTATTCCTTTATAGCAGTGTGAAAATGGACTAATATACTTGCCCTTCATCCCAACGATGGATTTAAGACTAGAGACATTTCAAATAGTAGGTTTTTTGCCAAATGCCTTTCGCTGTAGAAATTCTATACATGGCCTTTGTCTGTTACACTGGAAGTCCTGCCACTTCTTAGATGGTGGAGATTAAAACAGCGATTTCTTGTGGTGGTGGCGGGGCTGGGGTTGGGAACATTGAGGATAAGGTGGGAGCTGCCCATCTCAGACACTACTGAGATAGTGGGATGGGCCACATAAATGTCTATGGAAGAGATGCCTTTGCCATACAATTCCTTCAACAAATACTCATTGATCACACACCATATCTGGGGGTGTAGCTGAGAACAAAACAAAGCTCCTGTTTTGAGGAGCTTTAGGCTGTAGAGAAAACAGAAAATAAACAAGCAAGCAAATGGATGTTTTTAAGTGGCAAAAGTGCTATAAAGGAAACAAGTAGTGGGATGAGATGAGGGGAGGAGAACTTCAGGTAAGGTGGCATCAGAGCAGGAAGCTGAACTGAGGGTGAGTGAGCTGAGCTCAACAGAAAGGACTGTTGGACTGAGCCAGCCACATGGAGATCTGGAGAAGGGAAGAGGGCACTACCATTTTGTTTTTGTTTTTTATTGGATTTAAGACGTCACTATTGTACCTCTAAAAGAAAAAAAAAAACTGTAATTATAATTGTAAATTACAAAATTGATTGTAAAACACATTTTGATAACAATGAATTAAAATATGTTAAATTACATGCCTTAGCATCAATATATTAGTTCAAAAGCCCAGAAGTGTTAAACAAGCTTAGTGCTTATCTAAGCAACTGAAAAGAATCTGATATGTTTATAGTTGGTGAATGACAGAGAAAAAGATATGAGGTTTCAGGGGGGCAAAAGGATAAATCTTGAGGTCTTAGTTTAATTAAAAACGGGTGATGATACCATTTACTGAGATAGGAGAGATTTCAGGTTGCCAAGATGTCAATTTCAGACATATTTTATATATGTTAAGTGACAATTAAGAGAAGGAGGGTTAAAAGGAGACTTAAGATTCAGTGAAAACTCAAGGTTTATGAAGACTTTTGCTCCATATCCATCAGGAAACCAGAAATCCCTGAAATTAATAGCTGAATAAATAGAATAAGGTCAACATTATTTTTAACACATATTTTTATGTCATATGCATACTATGTCACCATAATCAGTAAACTGTTAAAGTGCCAGAAAATGCTTCTACATCATTTTCATTCTGACAGGAAGTAGATAGAAATGGCATGTATCTACGAAGCCAAGTTCTTTCAAAATTTACAGCTTAATTTCTCCAATTGTTTAGAGTGATAAATTTTTCACTGAGGCCATTGACCAGCACAATAATTGTGTCTACACAGCATGTTTATATCAAATACCATTGCATCTGTTATGTCCTGTTCATGCTGTGACCTTCCCAGAAGGCAGTTAGGGATTGAAACTAGTACGCACAATAGTGTAGATCAGAAAACTGATGTCAGGCTCTAGTGACATGTGTAGGTACTGGCAGAACTGGAATTAGAACCAGATTTCTACAGTTGCACCCCTGGTTCTTTGCTCCAAATGCTAAAGCCCTTGGTTATTTGATTTTCCTGTTGTCTTTATCCTATCCCCAGGCTCTATTTGGGTTTCTGTAGTGAAATTAAGGATAACCTCATCTGCATGCTGTACTTTCTTAAATAGATTTTTCTAATCTCCCATACTCCCACAACCATAAATGACAAAATACAAGCATGCTTAGGATCATTGTGCCCCACAATAAAAAAAGCTGTTGCTATGTTTTGGAAACAGATCAATCTTGGTATTTAAGTGTTGTTTGAACAAAGATTAACTGAGCCTGTTCTCCTCCCCCAGGTACTCAGACCCAGAACATACTGTTTTCACTCCAAGAGTCTGAATGTCTCTTTTCTGAGAAAGATGAAGAAAAAGTACTTTTTTCATGAATTTAATACTCATTAAAGTCAATAGTCGGAAAGCCTGGCTAATTAGCAGACTTCTTCAGAGGACTTTAAATAATATAGTTACTGTATTTTTATTATATTGAAATCTCCAAATATATAAAGTTAGAATCTTCAAGGTGGGAGGAAGAGGAGAAATTGGATTTCTCTAAGCTCCCTAGTGATTCTGATGATGACTCATTTGGGGAAGTGCAGCATTGAATGGCCCTTCTAAAATGAGGACAGCTATTTTTTGGACTAAGCACCCCTCCCGACTCTCCCCATTCCTCATCCTCTCAGAGACTTCTCTCTCTCAGATTGCCCCATCTGTCTCATGTATTATAATCACTTCCCCTCTACTGGTTTCTTCTCATACGTTTAACTTGTTCAAGTGCCTTCCATCTTTAAAAACAGTCAAGGCACAGCCCTTGATTTAACCATAGGAAGCCCGCTCCCCACCACCCTGCCATCAGCTCTCTTCTTCCTGTGTAGTGAGCACTGCTTCTTTGAGCTTCTGAAAGCTGTAGTCACTGCCTCTTGCTGGTAACTGAAAGCACATTTCTAAGTTCGCATATTCCCTGACTTCTTGACAGCACTCATGACTCGCCATCTCCTTTTCTGGAACACTGTTTGCTTGGCTTTCACAATATCATGCTTTTCTAGTTCTTTTTCCTGTTTTGGACACTGCTTTACAGAGAATTAACATTCCTCTTTTTCCCGCTGACCCTGAATCAAGAAAGAATCATGTTTCTTTCTTTATTTTTTATATCTTAACTTTTGAGGGGTAGATTTTCAAGCATACATAAAAGTGAAGAGAACAGGATAATGAACTAGGTGTACACATGACTGCATCTTATCAGTGCAATACACACTCATATTACTTTTTCTATACTTCATCCATTTTCTCCCTGCTCCCTGACTTGGATCAAATCCCAGACATTACATTATTTAACCTGCAAATATTTCATCATATATATGTGGGAATATATAGATCTCTATCACTATATATAGTGAGAATTTCTTTCAAAGAAAAGATAATCACAATATTATAATCTCATCAAATGTAGTTGTTATAATTCCTTAATGTCAGTCTAATAACAATCCTGTTTTCACAATTTCTTCTCTTGTAGATTTTTAAAAATTAATTTTGTTGAATTGAAATCTAAATAAGATACAGAGATAAAGATTCATTGACATGTCCCTTAAGTATTTTAGTTTATAGGCTGTCCTACTATATTCCCTGCCTCTTCTTGCATTTTATCTTGATTCAGTTGAAAACTCTGGGTCATTTGTCTTATAAAGTTCATGGGGTCTGCAATTTGGTGAAGGTGTCCTTTTGGCATTATTTAACATGCGTCTCTGTTCCTTGTATTTTCTAGAAATTATTGGTTATATCTAGAGGTTTGATCAGATTTAGGTGAAATTATAAAAAGATTCCGTCATAGGTGATTTTGTGAAGTTCCATCAGAAGGTACCCATCTGGTTTTCTCTCCTTTTGTGATGCTAGCAGCCACTGAATATGGTAATCTACTCCAATCATTAACTAAATTTCTTTTCTGGAATTATTCCAAAAGAGAAACTTTTTTCATCATGCATTTGGTTGTCCTGAGGTATGATTGTATAGGAAAAACAGGATAACCTACTGATACTTTCTGTTTAAACTAGTATTCAAAATAATAAAAGTAGTCCCCTAGTATTATCTAAAGATTTCAAAAGACTTTTAAAAAAATTATTGATGATTTTATGAGCTCAGGGATTAAACATAGTCAATCTGTTTCAATCCCTTGCAGTTATTCCAATTAATAATCAAATTTTCCTGCCTTTGGCTTGCGGCAGCGTATTCATGTTGAATTCTGGGTCACTTTGACATGACTCCAGTTGTCTTTGATGGTATCCTTTTTGTGACAAAATGTCCCAGGATTATAATTTCCTGTCCCATACTGGGAAACAGCCAGTTCTCCAAAGAGCTCTGGAACCATTCAGTGAGAAATGTATTTAGATGCAACATTCTGGGTGCTAAGCATGCCCATTAACCTGATCAATCTCACGTCTTTCCTTTCTTTCAGCATTGCCAGAAAACTCATTTCTCAGTGACACCATTGTAATTACTCATTTGATTATCCCGCAATACACATATAAGAGTCTCAGGAAAACAGTACCATCAGCATTATATGGTAATATCTACAAGCACTTTAATATTTTCTTATTGGGGGTACACTTTTTTCCATAGAGAATATTTTACTAGGTAAGAACAATAATATTGATATGTTTTAATTTTTCTTGAAGTGGTTCTTCTGTATGAGGTTATATCACCAAGTAGATATACAGTTATAATGTTTGATTATTACACATTGCTTTTCTTAAAATTTAATTTTGTTTTAAAGCTATTAAAATCAGGTTTCTTAAAGAAAGATCCTCATTCTATCTGGATCAAAATCACTTTCAGAGCTAATTAAAAATGTGGTGTCCTGGACTCACGAAGCCAGAATTGCTGAGGAGATAGCCCGAGAATCTGAATTTTTAGCAGACATTTTTTTAGGTAAGAACTTCCCAATGATTTTGCCGCAAATGAATTAAAGAAGAATAGACACCCTCAGCTTTCTAGTGGCTTGTGGCAAAGAAAGGCACAAGCCCTGGGCTGATTGTCTTCCTGCATGAACGGCCTCATTCATTTCTCTCAGGTACCTTACCCGCAGGATCATTTCTGTGAATATCCATGAGGTGAAAAAGTCTGGGAAACACTGTCCTAGGTAACTTTTTAAAAAAATTTATTTCATTTTAATTTTTTTTTTTTAGAAATGGAATCTCGCTCTGTCACCCAGGCTGGAGTGCACTGACACGATCACAGCACACTGCAGCCTCAAACTCCTGGGCCTCAAGCAATCCTTCTGTCTCAGCCTCTTGAGTTGCTGGGACTACAGGCATGAGCCACTGTGCCAGGCTCTAGGCAACTGCTATGCACAGTGAAATTTGAGGACCACTGCCTTAAATATTGGTGTCCTTGGGTTCTTCTGTCTGGGCTAGATTCCTTACTCACTATTCTGCAACCCCAGCTGGGACAATTCCATCACTCCATAGCTTCATTTCCCATAACCACAGATTTGCTGGGTCTCATACCTGGAATCTACAGCCATGCCCCTCATTGTCTTTTGGCCATCAACTTTTAAATGTGTCCCAAAGGCTCCAAACCAATATGCATCAGCCCCAAGGTGGAAGACAAATCTCCATGTGTCCTAAATCAACTCACCTGGACTGTATCCCACCTTTCTGCAGTCTAGCAAATCATTTTAATTATAAATGAAACATTTCACCCCCACAAGACTATATTGTTATTAATGGCAAGAACTTTATCTTCTTCAGTGTAAATATTTCTCAGTAGTGTTATATTACATTTTACATGAAGGATACTCAACAGACAATAACGTCCACCTGAACTCATTTCTGAGCTAGCAGCAGAATTGGAAAGGAGTTTAAATTCACCCCTGCTGCTTAGTAGCTAAGTGACTTTAAACAAGTTATTCTACTAGTCTGATAATTAGGGTTTTCACCTGAAAACTGAGGGAAGCCAATTCATTTCATAGGGCTGATGAGGAAAAGCTTAAAAAACACCTGGAAAAAACCGCTAGGCTATGGTAGGTGCTCAACAATTATCAATGTCTTCCCCTGACATTTATCTTATGAGGGAGGCATTGGCCGCCAGTCACAGATGACAAAGTGAAGACTCAAACAGGCAACAAAAGAGGTTCTCAGTGTTATTTGGGGGTGGCACCCACCTTATAGGGTTCACGTGAGGATTTAATTAGATAACTCACGTACATTATCTAAGCTGAGCCTAGCTTGTAGTATGTATCCCCTTAAATGTAAGCTTCCTAAGAACAAGAATTTTGTCTCTTCTCTTCATTACTGGGTCCCAAGCACCTAAAATTGTGTATGCTGCATTGTAGGAACTCAATACATATTTGTTGATAACACGAATACTAATTCCCAATCCCCATTTTCAATATTTCATTCATTGTGAACCTAACATTGAGACACTTCTGCTCACCATGTATCCTGCCTGTGTTGGTGTATATTCAGCTCACCTTTGCTGGACACAAGAAATAAGGAGAAAGGGCTCCTGTTTAGTGGCTTGACAAATCAGCTAATAGAAAAATATTAAAATCCACCTGGGCAAAACAAAAAAGAAAGACATAGTGTGAGATGTAGCCAATCCCTGTGGGAGAAGGGGTTAAGAGAGAATATTGGAGTTGAACAGCACGACTCAAGGGAGCAGCTTTGAAACAATGAAAGAATCTAGAAATGATTATGATGTGGGTACATAGCAGGTGGTGGGGTAGAAAGGAGGCTGGGGGAAGAGAAAATTAGAAACAGCAGGGACAGGGCTGGCACTAGCACAGACAGTGAGGTGAAAGCTGGCACTGGAATAGGATTAGGCTATTAGAACAGCAGCTGATTGCAGTCAGGACAAATGGGCACTGAGCTGGTGCCAATAATGGCAGAAAATAAAGAAGAAAGCAAATAGAACCTGAAGTGGCAGTAAATTTAAAATTAGACAGATGAACATGTAGTCTAAGACCCATTTATTAATCCCTGCATTCACTCTTCCGTAGTAATATATACAGTCTTTACAGGGCAGGTTTCTTTCCCCTCCAATAACATGCTTGTATTTCCCCCAAATACCTTGAAGGAATAAACAAAAGAATATAAATTATGGCTTTTTTGAGCACTAAGCAATTTCTAAAGGAGTGCAAGGATCCCCTAATCAAGTAGCTGTGTATCAATAATAGGAGTTTTTAAAGGAGCAGATCTGTTGTGTGGGATAAGTCAGAGATTAGTGTGCCAGTGCTCCAGAGAAATGAGAGGAAGGTAGAAGAAGGTCTGCAGTAAGTAGATTTCAGTTTGTGCGTAATCAATGAGAACCTGCAACCTGGTAGAGAAGTTTAACATGCACTCTCAACCTTTGAAATGTTAAAAAATAGGATTGCTGTCAGAAAGTAAGACTCGTCTTACAAGATAAGTTTTTATCTCTATCTTTATTCAGACAGGAAACGCCACGAAGTGTCTGGATCAAAGAACAGACTATTGCTCACAGAGCACCTTCATAGCATTGTTCCTCATGCCCCCGTTGCCCAAGGGGATGGCAGGTTGAGGACCAGATGTACTTGCATGTTCAGGGGATGCAGCACAGAAGAGGAACTCCAAAATTATTATTATTATTGTTATTATTATTATTTTTGAGATGGAGTCTCGCTCTGTCGCCCAGCCTGGAGTGCAGTGGCGTGATCTCGGCTCACTGCAAGCTCCGCCTCCCGGGTTCACGCCATTCTCCTGCCTCAGCCTCCCGAGTAGCTGGGACTACAGGCACGCACCGCCACGCCCTGTTAATTTTTTTTGTATTTTTTTTTAGTAGAGACAGGGTTTCACCGTGTTAGCCAGGATGGTCTTGATCTCCTGACCTCGTGATCCACCCGCCTCGGCCTCCCAAAGTGCTGGGATTACAGGCGTGAGCCACCGCGCCCGGCCGAACTCCAAAATTATTAAACTCTGAGCGTCTGCAGGTGACTGACACATCTGCGCTTCCTTTCTTCCAGGGTGTGGGGAAGAGCGAGAAAAAGATTTCCGCTCTGGAAGGTAAACAAATACTCTCTGGAGAGAGAAGAGGAATGTCCCTAGCAGATGTCTCCAGAGAAGACAAGACTTTAAATTCCGCCAGGGAAATATACAATGTCTAACTTCTAAGGCACATTTGCCATTCAATCATGCTTTAACCCACGTTGCCAGAAATTTTTGCTCACTAGGTTTTGACTGTACAGGAATGTGAAAATATTCATGAAGAGTTGTTTTCCAATGCTAAAGAATTGATGTGTTTTAACAGTTGAATTAATTGTATTGATTATGATCACACCTACTTTTTATATATCTTCATTTCTAACGTTTCTGTACAATCCTGCCTTTCCACCTGATATAGTTAGGCCTTGTGTCATCAACCAAATCTCATCTTGAATTGTAATCGCCATAATCCCCACGTATTTAGGGAGAGACCTGGAGGGAGGTGTTTGGATCATGGGGGCGGTTTCCCGCATGCTGTTCTCATGACCATGAGAGTAAGTTCTCAAGAGATCTGATGGTTTTATAAGCGTCTGTCATTTCCACTGCTTGCACTTCTGTGTCCTGCCACCTTGTGAAGAAGGACGTGGTTGCTTCCCCTTCCACCATGATTGTGTTTCCTGAGGCCTCCCCAGCCTTGCAGAGCTGTGAGTCAATTAAACCTCTTTCCTTTATAAATTACTCAGTCTCTGTATTCCTCTGCAGCAGTGTGAGAACAGACTAATACATCACCACTTTATTTACTTTACTCTCTCCCCATACCGAGGTTTTCTACATTTTCTTTCTAGGTCTCTACAGTTTCTGCAAAGATCCTTTATGGAACTCTTAGGGAAGCTGGGATGTATAATAAATAAAGGGCTCTTTTCTTTGAGTCCCACACCCATTTTCTGTGTATAAAAATCTTCAACTCCACTTTTGTCTGTTCTATTTAAATGTGTGCACATTTCCTTCTAATGTTGTATATGAAAAAGAGACACCTCTTAGCAGTCTTTCATAGAGCAAAATTTTTTACTTTGATAAAATCTAATTTATCAATATTTTTAAATTTTATGGATCAATCATGCTTTTGAGGTTGAATTTAAGAATGCTTTGCCTAGCCCTAGATCCCAAGTATCTTTTAAAAATTATTTTTCTAAATGCATTATTTATGTTTTACACTTAAGTCTATAATCCATTTTGAGTCCATGTGTAAGATTTAGGTTAAGGTCAAGATTTATCTGTTTTTGTTGTTTTCTCTATAAATGTCAATTGCTCCAGCACTATTTGTTTAAAAGCCAATCTTTCCTCCGCTGAGTTCTTCCTATAAGTTTGTCAAAAGTCAATTTGGCATCTTTGTATAAGTTTATTTCTGGATTCTCTATTCTGTTTTATTGATCACTGCATCTATCCCTCTTGATTAGCTAGATAATAAATCCTACAATAAGGTAGAATTCTTCCCACTTTATTCATATTCAAAATATTTTAAAGCTATTCTAGTTTCTTTTTATTTCCATATATATTTTAGGATAATCTTATCTATATTTACAACATATGTTGCTAGGATTTTGATAGAATTTGTTTTAAATTTGTGTATCAATGTAGGGAAGACCTGACATCTTTACTATTACGTTGATCTTCCAATCAATGAATATGGTATATCTCTCAGTTTATAGCTATTGTCTTTAATTTATTTCATCATGGTTTTTAGTTTTCAGCAGAGAAGCTTTATACATGTTTTGTTATACATGTATAACAAAAGAAGCCTTATACACTGACATTTTATATTTTGAACAATTGTAAATGGTATTGTTTAAAAATTTTGTTGTCTATGATAGAAATAAAATTGATTTTTGTAGGTTTATCTTGTAACCTATGACTTGCTGAGCTCGCTCATTAGTTTTTTTATTGTGATAAAATATACATGAGATAAATTTCATCATTATAATCATTAAGTTTAGACATCAATTGCATTAAGTACATAAATGCCTTATGCAACCATCATCTCTATCCATCTCCAGACCCTTTGCATCACCCTAAAATGAAACTCTGTGCCCATTAAACAATAACTCCCCATTCTGCCCTCACCCCAGCCCTTGGTAATTACCATCCTACCTTTTATCTCTATAAATTTAACCATCCCAGGTAACTCATATAAGTGGAATCATGCAGTGTTTGTCCTTTTGTAACTGGTTTATTTCACTTAGCATGATGTCTTCAAGGTTTGCCTATGTCATAGCATGTGTCAGAATTTCATCCCTTTTTAAACTTAAATAATATTCCACTGTAGGCATATGCCACATTTTGTTTATTTGTTCATCTGTTGATGGGCATTTGGGTTGTTTCCACCTTTTGGCTACTGTGAATAATGCTGCTGTGATCATGGGTATGCAACTGTCTCCTGGAGTCCCTGCTATCAATTCTTGTGGGTATATACCCAGAAGTGGAATTGTTGCAACATATAGTAATTCTATGTTTAATTTTTTGAGGACCTGCCATAATGTTTTCCACAGTAGCTACATTGTCTTATATTCCCATTAAGAGTTCCAATTTCCTCACATCTTCACCAATACTTATTGTTTTCTGTTTTTTTAAATAATAGCCATCATAATAAAAGTAACATGGTATCTCATTGTGGTTTTAACTGCATTTCCCTTTTTACTGGATTGTTTGTAATATTGCTGTAATTGAGTTGTAGGAGTTTTTAAATATGTTCTGAATAATTAATTTCTTATCAGATATGTCATTTGCAAATATTTTCTGCCATTCTCTGGGTTGTCATTTCACTCTCTTGATAGTGTCCTTTGATGCACAGAAGTTTTGAAATTTGATAAAGTTTAATTTGCGTATGTATTTATTTTGTTGCTTATGCTTTTGGTGTCATATCCAAGAAATTATTGCCAAATTCAGTGTCATGAAGATTTTCCCCTGTGTTTTCCTCTAAGAGTATTATAGTTTTAACTCTTGCACTTAGATTGATCCGCTTTGAGTTAATTTTAGTATATGGGGTAAGACAAGGGCTCAAATTTGTTCTTTTGTTTGAAGATTCTAGGTCATTTGTGATCTTTAGGATTTTCTATGTAGACATTAATGTCATCTTCAAATATGAACAGTTTATTTCTTCCTTTTGTATATGTATGAATTTACTTTCCTTTTCTTGCCTTATTGCACTGGCTAGAGTTTTCAGTACTATGATGAATAAAATCAGTGAGAGCAGACACCCTTGCTTTGTTTCTAATCTTAGGAGGAAAGCTTTCAGTCTTTCATCATTAGGTATACTGTTAGTTGTAGGCTTATTATAGATGCTCTTTATCAGGTTGAGGCAGTTTCCTCCTTGGTTAAGACTTTCTATTTTTCATTTTCAGTTATGACCAGGCATGTTCATAACTGCTCATCAAAACTTTGAATTAGTGGCTGCTTTAACATCCTTCTCAGACAATTCTAACATCTGTTTTGTTGGTGGTGGCATCTATCAATTGTCTTTTTCATTCTGTTTGAGATCTTCCTTGCGTTTGGTATGATTTTTTTAAATATTATGTCATGAAACTGCATCTTATTTAAATCTTCTGTTTTAGTTGGCTATGTCTGACATCACTTCCCCAGGGGAAGGTGTTGTTACTGCTAGTGGAGGGTGAGAATTATGGCTCTCCACTGACATTGTGGTGGGATTGGTCCCATTACCACTGGGCAGGGTTGAAAGTCCTGACTTTCTGCTAGGCCTTCTCTGACTTCATCGCAGCAGGAGGAAAAGATGCCTCTGGAGTTGAAGTCAGGTTGCACTGACACTGTGTGTGTATGGAGGTAGGCTGGGGTGAAAGTGGAGACTCATTACCACATGGTGAGTAGTTTCCAGCTCTCTATTTGGCCTTCTCTGATACCACCCAGACAGGGACATTGGGGATACCTCATTACAGCCTAGTGAGGGTCAAACTCTAGGCTCCCCACTCAGTCTTTGCTATCATGGACACTGTAGGACCATAGTTTTTTCTGTGCTGTTTGCTTGATGTGTCTTCCTTGGACCCTGAGTTCCATAGCTGGTCTGCATTCCTCTCTCCACCTTTAAGACGTCTTCTTATGTTTATTTCATATTTAACATCCAGGGTGGTAATTAGAGGGAAGAATAGAGGGAAAAGTACAGTTGCACTTTGTTGTTCAAAGAGCAGTTTTGAACTGCACAGACCCATTTCTCTGAGCACACCCAGGGATGATTGTACTTGTATAAAATTTTTTTCCTGGATGCAGAATTCTCAATTGACTGTGAAAGTTCATAACAAAGAAAACAGTGGGGAAGACAAATCTGGAAATGAGGAAAATAAAAATTAAATAGTGAGACCACCCATGGAGCTTGTGGCAAAGCCTGAATTGAATCCGCTGTATCTTAAGATTGTGCCTCATTCTAAATTTAAGTCACCCTTCTCATTATGAAAGTGTCACAACTTCTCAGTAGGTGAGGAGACAGTCTAAATTTGAGAAAAGAAAGTTACAACAAAGGTTTTGAGCAAGCTGCTAAGTGGATTTATTCATGTTTGAGAAATCAAATATATGGTTAATGAGCTCTTTAACTAGAAGCCAACACTAGGGAGGAGTAGACAGAAGTCACGGGGAGGGAGCCCCCGGACATTTCAAAAGACTTTGCCCTGCAACATCTCCTCCACATTTAAGCTTTTAGGTTATTGTAGCCACATCACAAGCATGTTACCTACCCAGATATTGTCTGCGCATCATTCCCAAAAGCTTCCCTGGGTCTTCATAATATTAATGAGATTCTCCCCCAGGTTAGACCCCTTTGGCTTGAGTCAGAAACAGAATTAATCCGGGGGACAATCCAGCAGCACCCATCTCTGGGTTGCAGAAATATCTGAGGTGACCAGGCAGTGTTTGGAGTCCCCTCAGTTAGCTAACAAAGTGAGTTCACAGCTTCCAAGACCCCAGGCTTTCCAGGCTAATAAAGAGCTGAGGTTATAGGCTCTCCTTATCAAACGCTCTTTGGCAGCTGCCATAACCATTCCAAGTCTAGTCCTAGAATAGAAATGACGCGGTTTCAGGAGCTGACAGATGGAACTTTAAGCCTTCCTTCCTGCCACATCTGAAGTTCTTTTTTAAAAAAATAGAAAACCATGACAATAAACACTCCTTGAATGCCCTGTGGAAAAGTGTACTCCTCAGAATTCACTAAAGTGGGGTGAAGCAGTGGGTTGTGGTGCTGAGAAAACATCTCTTCCCCTCGGCAGTATATTGGAATCTCATAGAAACTTCTGTGGCTGGGAAGCAAACATGCTCTCTGCCCCATTGCTCTTATTCATCTTTAGACCTGATAATACAGTTTGAACTTCAAGTTGCACTTTAAATGGCATGCATTTTTAGCCAGGCACAGTGGCTCATGCCTGTAATCCCAGCACTTTGGGAGGCCGAGGCAGGCAGATCACTAGGTCAGGAGATCGAGACCATCTTGGCCAACATGGTAAAACCCCGTCTCTACTAAAATACAAAAAATTAGCTGGGCTTGGTGGCACATGCCTGTAATCCCAGCTACTTGGGAGGCTGAGGCAGGGGAATTGCTTGAACTCGGGAGGCAGAGGTTGCAGTGAGCTGAGATCACGCCACTGCACTCCAGCCTGGTGACAAAGCAAGACTCCGTCTCAAAAAAAAAAAAATTAATTAATAAAGGGCATGCATTTTTTAATTTTACCTAAGGAAAGCATCCATTTAAAGAGGCTGAGAGACCTAGTGTAGGAGCACTCAAATGATGTTTTAATTGTATTTTATTGCAATGTATATTGTTGTAAAGAAGTATGAAAGGTAACGAGGTGAGAGAGCTGCTCAGAGAAATAAAATAATGCCTCACTTGAAGAGAACAAAAGGAGACAGCTTTTTCATGCAGTTGGTTGGAAGTAGCTGAATGGAGGATCTAAAAAGTCAGATTCTGTTTCTTCAGCCTGGAGATGGCCACATGGTCAAGGATGCCGAAGGAAAGCAGCTCTCAAGAAAAACGTTGCTTACTCTAAACACGTCGGAACAAGCCAGTATCACACAAGCATTTATCTCTATGGATAAAACTAAATACATATTATGTTTTTTGGAACATTTTTGCCTTTACCCCTGAGATAATGACAATGACTTAGCTCATGGAAAGGTTGTGGGCATTAATTAATTAATTTTGAGGCAGAGTCTCACACTGTCACCCAGGCTGGAGTGCAGTGGCAAGATCTCGGCTCACTGTAACCTCTGCCTCCCGGGTTCCAGCGATTCTTCTACCTCAGCCTCCTGAGTAGCTGGGATTACAGGCATGTGCCACTATGCCCAGCTAATTTTTGTATTTTTAGTAGAGACAGGGTTTCACCGTGTTGGCCAGGCTGATCTCAAACTCCTGACCTCAGGTGATCCGCCTGTCTCGGCCTCCCAAAGTGCTAGGATTACAGGAGTGAACCACCGCGCCCAGCCTGTGGGCATTAATTTAAATAAAGTGTATGTGAAGTACTTACTTACCATCCACAAGGAGACCTAGACCTGAGGTTGTTTTTCTTATTCTCATATAATAAAGGTTGCATTCTGTGATGTAATATGGCTTCAATTTTAATTGTTATTTAGGCAACAAATAATTCTTCATCTGCACATGATTTTTATCAGCCAGGTGACAAGTCAAGTGCTATATAGAGGACGACCAGATGTCAATCAGAAAACTCGGTTCTGCTTATTGATGTCACTAATTGTATTTTGGACAACATATTTTCTTGCTTTATTGTTTGTTTCTTTTTGTCTTTGTTTCCTAAGTTACAATTGTTTCATACCTGAAAATCGAATACTTGTGAGTTGCTTTGAGATCTCCTGGTGATGGCTAGAAAAAAAATCACAGAAACAAATGCAATATCAGGATGAGAACAATTAAATACTGACAGGGTTGGTCCAGAAAAACATTCCTACTTATTTTTTAACCACACCATCCTTTGCTACTGCATTTCTTTCTACAATTTTGTCTCTCTGACATCTATGTCCCCCAATCTGACAACACCTCTCTTCTCTCAGGAGGACTAAGATCTTTCCAGACCCAAAAGGGTAAAAGTTCCCAGCTCTTTCCCTTCAGAAACAGAAAGTCAGATTCACTCATCTCTGTGGAAAGTACTCTTAGCAAAACGTTCAATGACAAACTTACTTTACCTTTCTTCTCACTTAATAGCCCTCTCGACCAGGCGCGGTGGCTCACGCCTATAGTCCCAGCACTTTAGGAGGCTGAGAGGGGTGGACCACCTGAGGTCAGGAGTTTGAGACCAGCCTGGCCAACATGGTGAAACCCCCTCTCTATTAAAAATACAAAAATTAGCCAGGCGTGGGGGCAGGAGCCTGTAATTCCAGCTACTTGGGAGGGTGAGGCACGAGAATTGCTTGAACCTGGGAGGTGGAGGTTGCAGTGAGCAGAGATTGTGCTACTGCACTCCGGCCTGGGAGATAGAGCAAGACTGTGTCTCTCACACACACACACACACACACACACACACACACAATAGCCCTCTCTTGACAGCAAGGCTTTCTGCTTTCCTGGGTAAGGGATCTCAGCACGGTTTTTTGACACAGGGAGGGTTTGGAAAAGGTCCCAAACATCTATGTGCCTGCAAAGTGATGGGCTCTAGAGGCAATGTCTCAGGGATCACATTATGAGTTTTCAAGCTCAAGATGACTTAACAGGCCTTGTACCCACCCTCAGTGCACTTGGCTCCCTTTTTCATCCAACAATTACTGGAACCAGTAGTGGTGTCCACTCAGACTGCACATGCCTGGGCACCATCCAGAAGAGGAAAATGTTTTGTGAGGCTCCCAGCCCTGAGGCTGCAGAGAAACCATGGAAGACCTGCTCATGAGCTCTGCAGTGGCCCTACATGGGGGTGTCAGGGGAATAGCCACGAAGGGTAGGACCTCAGAGGCTCATCACCCCATAATTGGCATATAACATTCAGAAAATAAATATTAATTGAAGAAATGGAGGGTGAGAGGGAATAGCAAAGCAAAAGAGACAGGTGACAAGAGAAGGGCTATTGGAGGTGTCAATTGATGTCAAAGAATAGAGAATTCCCCCACCCCCATCTCTTTTCTTTACCTTAAAAACAAAACACATTCTTTGGATATGACGGTATAAAATGTAAAATCCTGTTTTCCTGTAATTATCATGCTGACTCTTTCCTTCCAGGCTTTAATTGATTTGGCAGAAGCTCTTTGACCCCCTGCTTATAGGCTTAGCCATGTTCCAAACTAGGCTGATACTGGCCCTAGGTGTTGGGGGAGTGGCCAGGGGAGGGGGTTGGCGCATAAGACCTGGGCCAGTGTCCAGCCTTCTATTATCCTTGCTTGCTACTGGCTCTAAGGTAACTGTGGCATCTTGCAAATTTCATCCCCTACACTTGGGGATCTGTAGGGTCCTGTTACTCCCCTGCCTAAAAGCCTTCACTGGCCTCTCATTGCTCTTAGGATATAGAAAATCCTCCATCCCTTGACCTGGCGGGCTGCCTCTGTGGCCTTAGCTTTTAGCCTGCCTGCTCCTATTACTGTCAATGCTTGGGTCACATTCGGTCCCTCCTCATCACCATAATGGTCTTCTCCACTACAGGGCCATTGTTCATGCCATTGGCTGTGCCTAGAACACGTTGCCTTTCTTGTTTGCCTAGTTAATTCCTGTTCACTCATGATGTGCTGATTAGGTCAGATCTCTTTCTCTCTCAGGTTCCCACAGTGCTAGGCACCTTTCCCTCTGAGCACCTGGCACAGTTGCAATGTTAGATGTTGGTCACAGGTTGGCTTCCCTGGGGACTGACTCTGGGACTCTGAAGTTTGTTTAAAAGAGGTATGTTGGTGAGGAATCCTAGGAACAATCAACGTGTGTGAGAGAGGCACAAGGAGGAGTTGAACTGTGATGCAGTTGAAGCAGGCATCTCATGAGCCAATAGGGTGCACTGGAGCTAGAATGGCCCTTGAAGTTGCCTGGAATGGAACAGGAGGGCTGGACCTTTGTAACTCACATTGGCCATCACTGCATCAAGACTCTCCAGGTAGGAGATACAACCTTGAGCAGGAAAGCTTTCTTCAGTAGAGGGTGATTACTAGAACAGACTCAGCAGTGAGCCATTAGTAGGCAACACTCCCACCAGCTAGGGAAGGATGGGCCTCAGTCCTGAAGGGGTCCACTGCAGGGTGCACTACAGCATTTGTGTTATTTAGTCAATGCCTTATTCAATCACCATATTGCAAGCTTCTCCAGGAACTTTTTGTTTTATAAAGGCTTAGTGTAGTACTTGGCACAGTGCAGGATCTCAGTAAGTGTTTGTCCAAAAAAAAAAAAAATGAATCCAGTCTTGCTGTGACCCCTAATTAGGGCAACCGACTATTCAGGTTTGCCCAGAACTATCCTGGTTTTAGCACTGAAAGTCCTACATTTCAGGAAACCTTCAGTTCAGGGAAAACTGGGGCAGTTGGTCACTCTACCTTTAATATTCTTAAGTACTGTTTACTGACCCAGAACAGAACTCACCAAAACTGTTGGCATGCTCTGCTAATAATCCGTTTTCCAGGGATTGGCTGGAATTACTTCACTACTCTGCTCACCGTTAAATGGGCCAGTATCAACCCAGTTTGGAACATGGCTAAGCCTATGAAGAAGGAGTCAGATACTGACTTTAGTTTGGCTTTTCTACTTTCTATAAATAGGTCCTATCCTCCCTTTCTTTCAACATCAAGCCTCTGGTTTCTGACCTACTTAGCCCTTTCTGCTAACCCTGCAAGTCTGTTCAGATTCCTGATCTCAGGGCTCTCTATTGGGCCTATCCTGTTATCGCCAGCATACCTCTTATTCTCTTCCCACTCTTTTCCCATTCACGTGAAAACATGGACATGGTGTGATTTGTGGACTCCTGTTAGGTGTTGGAATGACTGTCTATCTTTTCAAAACTGTAGACTCAGTGGGAATTGCAGGCTTTCTGGATCAGAAGCAAGGTCAACAGTACAGAGAGGACACTGTGATCTGTGTCTCCATTGTGAGTCTGATCCATTCAGAGATAGGAAGATAGAAAACCTTGGGAATTCTGATACTGATGGCAAATCAGTCTTCCTAATTTGCTTTTGATGAAGTGCTGGGAGATCACTTATTCATTCAACAAATATTTCTGATCTTGGTAATTGTCAGGCCTTTGAGCCCAAGCCAAGCCATTGCATCCCCTGTGACTTGCACATATACACCCAGATGGCCTGAAGTAACTGAAGAATCACAAAAGAAGTGAAAAGGCCCTGCCCCGCCTTAACTGATGACATTCCACCATTGTGATTTGTTCCTGCCCCACCTTAACTGAGTGATTAACCCTGTGAATTTCCTTCTCCCGGCTCAAAAGCTCCCTCACTGAGCACCTTGTGACCCCCGCCCCTGCCCACCAGAGAACAACCTCCTTTGACTGTAATTTTCCATTACCTTCCCAAATCCTATAAAACGGCCCCACCCCTATCTCCCTTCGCTGACTCTCTTTTCAGACTCAGCCCACCTGCACCCAGGTGAAATAAACAGCTTTATTGCTCACACAAAGCCTGTTTGGTGGTCTCTTCACACAGACGTACATAAAATTTGGTGCCGTGACTCGGATTTGAAATTGGTGAGATGTTTCTTGGGCTGGTCGGTCTGAGGACCTGAGGTCATAGGTGGATCTTTCTCATGGAGCAAAGAGCAGGAGGACAGGGGATTGATCTCGCAAGGGAGAGTACCCCAACCCCTTCTCTCCATGTCTCTACCCCTTCTCTGATTTTCTGGGGCAGGGGCAAGAACCCCTCAACCCCTTCTCCTTCACCCTTAGCGGCAAGTCCCGCTTTTCTGGGGGAGGGGCAAGTACCCCAACCCCTTCTCTGCGTGTCTCTACCCCTTCTCTGCTTTTCTGGGGCAGGGGCAAGAACCCCTCAACCCCTTCTCCTTCACCCTTAGTGGCAAGTCCCGCTTTTCTGGGGGAGGGGCAAGTACCCCTCAACCCCTTCTCCTTCACCCTTAGTGGCAAGTCCCACTTTTCTGGGGGAGAGGCAAGTACCCCAACCCCTTCTCTCCATGTCTCTATCCCTTCTCCTTCACCCTTAGCGGCAAGTCCTGTTTTTCTGGGGGAGGGGCAAGTACCCCAACCCCTTCTCTCATTGTCTCTACCCTTTCTCCTTCACCGTTAGCAGCAAATCTCGCTTTTCTAGGAGTGGGGCAAGTGCCCCAACCTCTTATATCTCTGTGCCCTGATCCTTTATTTCCGCACCCCGACCTCTTATATCTCTGTGCCCCGATCCCTTATTTCCGTGCCCCAACCTCTTATATCTCTGTGCTCTGATCCCTTATTTCCATGCCACGACCTCGTATCTCTGTGCCCCGACCCCTTCTCTGCTTTTCTGGAGGGCAAGAACCCCCCACCCCTTCTCCGTGTCTCTACTCTTTTCTCTGGGCTTGCCTCCTTCACTATGGGCAAGCTTCCATCTTCTATTTCTCCTTCTCCCTTAGCCTGTGTTCTTAAGAACTTAAAACCTCTTCAACTCTCACCTGACCTAAAACCTAAATGCCTTATTTTCTTCTGCAATGCCGCTTGACCCCAATACAAACTCGACAGTAGTTCCAAATAGCCAGAAAATGGCACTTTGAATTTTTCCATTCTGCAAGATCTAAATAATTCTTGTCGTAAAATAGGCAAACGGTCTGAGGTGCCTGACGTCCAGGCATTCTTTTACACATCAGTCCCTTCCTAGTCTCTGTGCCCAATGCAACTCGTCCCAAATCTTCCTTCTTTCCCTCCCGCCTGTCCCCTCAGTCCCAACCCCAAGCGTCGCTGAGTCTTTCTAATCTTCCTTTTCTACAGACCTATCTGACCTCTCCCCTCCTCACCAGGCTGCTCCTCGCCAGGCCGAGCTAGGTCCCAATTCTTCCTCAGCCTCCGCTCCTCCACCCTATAATCCTTTTATCACCTCCCCTCCTCACACCCGGTCTGGCTTACAGTTTCGTTCTGTGACTAGCCCTCCCCCACCTGCCCAGCAATTTACTCTTAAAAAGGTGGCTGGAGCTAAAGGCATAGTCAAGGTTAATGCTCCTTTTTCTTTATCCCAAATCAGAAGTGTTTAGGCTCTTTTTCATCAAATATAAAAACCCAGCCCAGTTCATGGCTTGTTTGGCAGCAACCCTGAGACGCTTTACAGCCCTGGACCCTAAAAGGTCAAAAGGCCGTCTTATTCTCAATGTACATTTTATTACCCAATCTGCTCCTGACATTAAATAAAACTCCAAAAATTAGAATCTGGCCCTCAAACCCCACAACAGGACTTAATTAACCCACCTTCAAGGTGTACAATAATAGAAAATGTTGCAATTCCTTGCCTCCACTGTGAGACAAACCCCAGCCACATCTCCAGCACACAAGAACTTCCAAACGCCTGAACTGCAGCAGCCAGGTGTTCCTCCAGAACCTCCTCCCACAGGAGCTTGCTACAAGTGACGGAAATCTGGCCACCAGGCCAAGGAATGCCCGCAGCCCGGGATTCCTCCTAAGCCGCGTCTCATCTCTGCGGGACTCCACTGAAAATCGGACTGTTCAACTCACCTGGCAGCCACTCCCAGAGCCCCTGGAACTCTGGCCCAAGGCTCTCTGACTGACTCCTTCCCAGATCTTCTCAGCTTAGCAGCTGAAGACTGACACTGCCCGATCGCCTCGGAAGCCCCCTAAACCATCACGGACGCTGAGCTTCGGGTAACTCTCATAGTGGAAGGTAAGCCCGTCCCCTTCTTAATCAATACGGAGGCCACCCACTCCACATTACCTTCTTTTCAAGGGCCTGTTTCCCTTGCCTCCATAACTGTTGTAGATATTGATGGCCAGGCTTCTAAACCTCTTAAAACTCCTCAACTCTGGTGCCAACTTAGACAATACTCTTTTAAGCACTCCTTTTTAGTTATCCCCACCTGCCCAGTTCCCTTATTAGGCTGAGACACTTTAACTAAATTATCTGCTTCCCTGACTATTCCTGGACTACAGCCACACCTCATTGCCACCCTTCTTCCCAATCCAAAGCCTCCTTTGCGTCCTCCTCTTGTATCCC
This sequence comes from Homo sapiens, assembly GCF_000001405.40. Lineage (NCBI taxonomy): Eukaryota > Metazoa > Chordata > Mammalia > Primates > Hominidae > Homo > Homo sapiens. Next base: position 233,686,286 of record NC_000001.11, on the reverse strand, counting down.
CCCACCTTAACCCACAAGTATAAGATACCTCTACTCCCTCCTTGGCGACCGATCATGCACCCCTTACCATCTCATTAAAACCTAATCACCCTTACCCCACTCAATGTCAAGATCCCATCCCACAGCACGCTTTAAAAGGATTAAAGCCTGTTATCACTCGCCTGCTACAGCATGGCCTTTTAAAGCCTATAAACTCTCCTTACCATTACCCCATTTTGCCTGTCCTAAAACCAGACAAGGTTTACAAGTTAGTTCAGAATCTGCGCCTTATCAACCAAATTGTTTTGCCTATCCACCCCGTGGTGCCAAACCCATATACTCTCCTATCCTCAGTACCTCCCTCTACAACCCATTATTCTGTTCTGGATCTCAAACATGCTTTCTTTACTATTCCTTTGCACCCTTCCTCCCAGCCTCTCTTTGCTTTCACTTAGACTGACCCTGACACCCATTAGGCTCAGCAAATTACCTGGGCTGTATTGCGGCAAGGCTTCACAGACAGCCCCCATTACTTCAGTCAAGTCCAAATTTCATCCTCATCTGTTACCTATCCTGGCATAATTCTCATAAAAACACACGTGCTCTCCCTGCTGATCATGTCCGATTAATCTCCCAAACCTCAATCCCTTACAAAACAACAACTCTTTTCCTTCCTAGGCATAGTTAGTGCACTCAGAATTCTTACACAAGAGCCAGGACCGCACCCTGTAGCCTTTCTGTCCAAACAACTTGACCTTACTGTTTTAGCCTAGCGCTCATGTCTGCGTGCAGCGGCTGCCACTGCTTTAATACTTTCAGAGGCCCTAAAAATCACAATCTATGCTCAACTCATGCTCTACATTTCGCATAACTTCCAAAATCTATTTTCTTCCTCATATCTGACGCATATACTTTCTGCTCCCCGGCTTCTTCAGCTGTGCTCACTCTTTGTTAAGTCCCACAATTACCATTGTTCCTGGCCCAGACTTCAGTCTGGCCTCCCACATTATTCCTGATATCACACCTGACCCTCATGACTGTATCTCTCTGATCCACCTGATATTCACCCCATTTCCCCATATTTCCTTCTTTCCTGTTCCTCACCCTGATCACGCTTGATTTATTGATGGCAGTTCCATCCGGCCTAATCGCCACACACCAGCAAAGGCAGGCTATGCTATAGTACAAGCCACTAGCCCACCTCTTAGAACCTCTCATTTCCTTTCCATCGTGGAAATCTATCTTCAAGGAAATAACTTCTCAGTGTTCCATCTGCTCTTCTACTACTCCTCAGGGATTATTCAGGCCCCCTCCCTTCCCTACACATCAAGCTCGAGGATTTGCCCCCACCCAGGACTGACAAATTAGCTTTACTCAACATGCCCCGAGTCAGGAAACTAAAATACCTCTTAGTCTAAATAGACACTTTCACTGAATAAGTAAAGGCCTTTCCTGCAGGGTCTGAGAAGGCCACCGCAGTCATTTCTTCCCTTCTGTCAGACATAATTCCTCAGTTTAGCCTTCCCACCTCTATACAGTCTGATAACAGATGAGCCTTTATTAGTCAAATCGGCCAAGCAGTTTTTCAGGCTCTTGTATTCATTGAAACCTTTATATCCCTTACAGTCCTCCATCTTCAAGAAAAGTAGAACGGGCTAAAGGTCTTTTAAAAACACACTTCACCAAGCTCAGCCACCAACTTAAAAAGGACTGGACAATACTTTTACCACTTTCCCTTCTCAGAATTCAGGCCTGTCCTCGGAATGCTACAAGGTACAGCCCATTTGAGCTCCTTTTTATTAGGCCCCAGTCTCATTCCAGACACCAGACGAACTTAAACTGTGCCCCCAAATAACTTGTCATCCCTACTATCTTCTGTCTAGTCATACTCCTATTCACCATTCTCAACTACTCATACATGCCCTGCTCTTGTTTACACTGCCGGTTTACACTGTTTCTCCAAGCCATCACAGCTGATATCTCCTCGTGCTATCCCCAAACTGCCACTCTTAACTCTTGAAGTAAATAAATAATCTTTGCTGGCAGGACTATGCTGAACCTCCTTAGGCACTCTCTAATTAGATGTCCTAGGTCCTCCCAATTCTTAGTCCTTTTATATCTGTTTTTCTCCTTCTCTTATTCCATTTAGTTTTTCAATTCATACAAAACCGTATCCAGGCCATCACCAATCATTCTATACAACAAATGTTTCTTCTAACGTCCCCACAATATCACCCCTTACCACAAGATCTGCCTTCAGCTTAATCTCTCCCACTCTAGGTTCCCACGCCGCCCCTAATCCCACTTGAAGCAGCCCTGAGAAACATCGCCCATTATCTCTCCATACCACCCCCCAAAAATTTTCGCCGCCCCAACACTTCAACACTATTTTGTTTTATTTTTCTTATTAATATAAGAAGGCAGGAATGTCAGGCCTCTGAGCCCAAGCCAAGCCATCGCATCCCCTGTGACTTGCACATATACGCCCAGATGGCCTGAAGTAACTGAAGAATCACAAAAGAAGTGAAAAGGCCCTGCCCCGCCTTAACTGATGACATTCCACCATTGTGATTTGTTCCTGCCCCACCTTAACTGAGTGATTAACCCTGTGAATTTCCTTCTCCTGGCTCAGAAGCTCCCCCACTGAGCACCTTGTGACCCCCGCCCCTGCCCACCAGAGAACAACCCCCTTTGACTGTAATTTTCCATTACCTTCCCAAATCCTATAAAACGGCCCCACCTCTATCTCCCTTCGCTGACTCTCTTTTCAGACTCAGCCCACCTGCACCCAGGTGAAATAAACAGCTTTATTGCTCACACAAAGCCTGTTTGGTGGTCTCTTCACACGGACGCACATGAAAGTAATCACTCCCAATATAAGATTCTAAGACAAAATATGAAACACAGAGAACTTGGTTTTCCTGGCAACTATGATTTTTTACTTCACTGGCACATTTCATTCTTACACTAAAAATCAAAACAATGAAAATAAAAATAGCCCCTTTTTCCCTCCACGTAGCTCATTGCATGCTGTACTTCTGTACTTCCTAAATGCAGTAGCCCTTCAATAATCTCCTTCATCTCTCTCCTTCACCAAAAAAAAATTGTTTTTCTATCCCTTCTCAATCTTTATGAATATATCTAAAATGGCTACTTAATTAATTTTGTTCAATGTTGTCCCGATGAATTCAGAGATTATTGGTATTTGTTCCATTCTAAGGAAGAATAAATTAAACTAATGAAGACATAGGCAGCCAGTCTGGCATCACTGAGCACACAGACCTAGTATTATTGACAGAGCAGGTGGAAATCTCCTGAGTTCTGGGCATATCTGCGGATGAAAACACAGTGCCTTCATTTTAGAGAGGTGCAAGACAGAAGGGCTATTGGAGACGTAAATTTATGTTAAAGAACAGAGAATGTCCCCTCTCTTTTTTCCTTACCTTAAAAACAAAACAAATTCTTTGGATATGATAGTATAAAAATACAAAACCCTCTGCTTTCCTGTAATTATAATGCTGGCTCTTTCCTCCCAGGCTCTCATAGCAATGTTCCCACAGATATCCAATAAAAGAAAGAAAAATCAGAGACATTGCAGTTCTTAAGCGCTATTAGGCAACTTTAAGGAATGTTCACGAGTACATATTTGTACATTATTTTATGTAGACGTGGCTAAGGAATAGTGTATGCAATTAGCAGAGTAACCCAAACTATTCATTATCAAAGAATCAGTGTGCACTGAGGTCCCTGCAAGACTATAACTCTACTGGATATCTTTCTTTGATGCTTCAGAAGGTACTGCCATCTTCTGCGTGGTCCCAGGATCACTTGTGAGCACTAATTATCAGTATGCAGCAAGAGCCAGTTCAAATAAATTCCGAGTTGGCGGCTTGTTTGTTATTACCTGGAAATACAGCTCATAAACTACAGCATTTAAATCCTGATGGGGCATAAAGAAATGTTTTAGAATTATGTGGGGAAATCTTTCCCTTGGGATAACTGATTTTTAAAGTGATCTTCACTCTGATCAGGTTTCACCTCAAGGACTGAAGAGCTAGCTCTCACTGCAGGCCCTGGGGGTGACCTCTATAGTCTGAACTCATATCAAGGGCATCTCGTGTCAAATGCTCAGTCTGCAGGGTGTCTTGGATAGACAAATAATTTTGGAAATGGATACATTTGACAAATCACCTTCACTGGTTAAATGAGGTGAAATAAAAATAAAATATGTTGCATAATGCATTATTATAAAATATCTGTAGATGCAATTGGTTCTGTAAGTAGCTGAGAACATTTTACCAAATAAGCCTTCTGAAATTAACACCATAACCACATAAGAATAAAATAGAATGGTATTAGATGTTACATTTGTGTGTGTGTGTGTGTGTGTGTGTGTGTGTGTGTGTGTGTGTGTTGGGTAAACCGGAATTTTATGCAGGACACAAACACAATGTTTGAATTATTGCTAAAAATTTCAGAAAGTACAGGTAAGCATTAAATTATACTATTTGAAATGTTTATCAGCACTATTATCTTGTAGGCAATTATTACGGTCACTATCCCTTCAATTTGGGTATCTACACAGACTCTCCTAGTCTTTTCATTCAAATTCTGCTATCAGAAGTCACCAAGTCCACCTTGTAGTTAAATCCAATGTCCTTTGCATCAACCTATTTGGACATTTTTCAGCAGTTGACACTTTGACCATTTTCTGAGTCTTAATATCTTCCTTCCAAATGTCAGACATTGTAGCCAGGCCTAGCGGTGCATGCCTGTGCTTCCACTACTTGGGAGGCTGAAGCAGGAGGATCCCTTGAGCCCAGGAGTTCAAAGCCAGCCTGGGCAACATAGCAAGATCCCATCACTGGAAAAAAGAAAAAAGTCAGGTCAGGCATTGTGATAGGTATTTAGCCCAGGTAATCTAATTTAATCTGTGTGAAAGTTTCCATTATACCAAACCCAACATTACCATGAAACAAACTTCCCTTCCCTTCCCTACATTTTTTGTTAAAGCACCATTATCTTAGTTTCAGGTTGGAAACTTCAGTATGTTTCTGCATCATAATCATTACGGGTTAGGAAGACATGTTAATTATGCGTTAAAACTGCCCTCAGCATTATTTCCCCCTTCTATCTGCTCTTCTTTGCTTCCCTTTCGGACTTTCATTACTAGAACTGCGTCCCAGCTGTATTTGCCAGCTCCAGTACCCCGCTCAATGATCCAGCCTGTGCATCACTGGGTGGGCCAGCCTTCCTAACACCATGCCTTCCATATTCATTTTCTACACACTAATGACAGTCTCACTTGACTGCACTCCGGACTCAGGTCAATCCTCAGGTCAAAGTACTCAGGAACTTCCGTCAAGTCTTCAAAAGCCCCCATCTCTCACTCTCCTGAACTGATGCGAGCTGTCACTACTCCTCAACATACTTTAGTTGCCAATATTATTATTTAATAAACAGGCTGAATGAAAAAATTCAGAATGGTCATTCGATAACACTGGCAATTAAATTGTATTATGATACATAATGGACCAGGCACTGTGCTAAGCGCTTTCCAAGAAGTCACTATGATCTTTATATCCCCCAAGGGGGTGGCTAGTAGGTGAGGAAGCTGAGGTTGAGAGGCTTGCCCAGGGTGCCACATCTGGAGACTGGCACAGGTGTGCCTGGTGGTGGCATCTCCACCTTGAGCCACTATGCTGTATCCCAAGTAACCATTCTACTGCTGCCTGGCTGGGGCCTTCACTTTGGCTTGTACTGGCCTCCTCAAATGCCCTCACTCTCAATCTCCAAGGACCAGGTGTCCCGCAAAACCTTTCCTAATGTTGGAATCAGAAAACAATACCCCAAATGAAGGCCTCAGAAGCAAAAGTTATTCTCTGACCTTCTTCTACCCTCCTGTCTTTCAATCCCAACTCCCCCAAGGCTACCCATAGAAACTAGAATCCCTCTTCTCCAAGGCAGGTCATAGAAACCGGAACTCCTTTTCCCCACAGCCAGCCATAAAACCGAAAAATATGACTTTGTGTCCCCCTCCAGTCTTTCTGTGTAAAAACTGGACATAAATAAATTTCCTGACCTATCTCATTTAATTGTAGGTCATAAGACCTCCATTCCAGGGAGGGCGCTGCCTCACACCCACAAGGAAGGAATGCGTGCTCAGAGAGGCTGAGAAGAATCTAAACAGACAGGTCTTGCTGGGTTTCCCCTCTTAGTCTACTAGCATTCGATCATTCCCTTTTGGTCCAATTATATTTCTATACAGCCATCCATACTTCGTTGAACTAAAGCATAAGAACTGACAATTTTACCTGTCTCTTTGGGTCCCCATTCTGAAGGCTCCTGTGTCACATAAAACTATGATCGAATAATTGTGTATGCTTTTCTTCTATTAAGCTGCTTTTATCAGCTGATTTTCCACAAACCTTCGGAAAGAGAAGAAGTTTTCCTTTGGCCTTGACATTATCCACCGGAACCCCCAGGGACCTCCCCCTCCCTTGAGTTTATTGTTTCGCTGACTCCTTGCAGGACACCAACTAGCACTGGAATTTCATGACCCTGTGTTGCTAATTGGTGTGTGTTTATACTCCAAATAAAAAACGGGCAATTTCCTTGAAGATCTGTGCCACATTTCACTTCCACAGCAGCGGGTATCATTTTGTGTTTTAGAAAAATGACTAAAATTGGTTTTAATAGTAGCAGCTAACAATTGTGAAAAGTGTTTGCTAAGCACCAGTTAGCAAACTGATTGCTTCGCATTCATTATTACAATCTGCCCCCAGAAAAGCTCCCTTCTTTTAACACTTGAGCTCTAACACTTTTAGACAACGCTTAGATTTACCTGTTTCCAGAAGAACTAAGCTCCCTTTAGAAACCATTTAATTCCATTGTCGTAGAACAGATGGGGGTATAGCGCTTAACGCGGACCCCTTCACGGCCTCCACCAGCTGACTAGGGGCTCCATGGCTGATCTGAGAGGTCTGGAAATATATAGCCACATGCAAAGGAACTGGGAGCGACAGCCCATAACTTAAGTGTGCAAATGGTGTAATATTACATTGAATTGTTTGCACAGAGATTCTATTTACCCATAAAGATAATGATTCACTGTTATTTATAGTTGTCTCAGAATACTGATTTTTAGTCATTGCTTAGAATTAAAAAAATTTAATAAGCCCAGGCTTTTAAATGAATGTAGTAGCTTAAATTGAATTTTTTAGAATGTTCCTTAAAAAGTGTTCACTTATTCAATGAACTCTACATTCTTTCTCTAGCCTCATTGATTGCATCTTTTTCTTTTTCCTTGGTTCACAGGTATAATTGTCAGGAAAATCATATTCACATCCATCTCTTCTCAGTGGGTTGTTTGTTTTAATTATTTTTTTTTCAGAGACGGGGTCTTGCTTTGTTGTCCAGGCTGGAGTGCAATGGCATGATCATAGCTCATTTCCACCTTGAATTCCTGGGCTTACGCGATCTTCCTGTCTCAGCCTCCCAATTAGTTGGGACTACCTGTACATGTAACTATGCTGGGTCAATTTTTTTTAATTTATGGGGTTATTTTATTGTTGTTTGAGACAAAGTCTTGCCCTGTTGCTCAGGCTAGAGTGCAGGGGCACCATTACGGCTCACTGTAGACTTGACCTTCTGGGTTCAAGTGGTCCTCCCACCTCAGCCTCCTGAGTGTGCACCACCACAGCCAGCTATTTTTAATATTGTTCGTAAAGATGGGGTCTTGCCATTCTCAGTGGATTTCACTGGGTCTGAGTGGCATCTTGCAACTGGACTTTTTACATATTATGTATGAAGGGAAATAAATACACAGGATGCTCTCATTTTACAACTTGGGTGAAAAGCTATTTCATAATCACTCGGCCAGATATTCTGCGTAACACTCATAAAATACTTCTCCTCTTTTTACCTTAGATATAGCCATGGAACCTTGAAATCTACAGACGTAAGTAACACAGATGATCAGCTGGAAAGAAAACAAATGTGAGTGCAGTGATTAGTCTCTTTAAGACCCTCCATAGTGACCGGAGAAGTGTTCCAGGTGGCACAGCTAGGTTTCCACATTGACCCACTGTGCTTGTCGTCCTTCTCCAGCCAGTGCCCCTTTTGGAGGGAGTCACCAACAGAAATGTGTGCTGTCAATGTCTGGCTATGCCCATGCCCTGGGCTCTGCTTCACTCTCCCAAGACAGGGGTCCCTGGGGCAGCCTGATCTCCTTTTCAGTTCCCCAAAATCTGAGGGAAAAATGATAGACTGTGACAAAAAGGCAATCTATTATTTTACTTTTTAATAGAGTTCTGCCAGCTCTAGCATGTGCCATAAATTACAGTGACCTTTAAAATCTCGCTTGGTCACTGCTGAATGGGTGAGAATAGGCTTGGTTCCAGTTTTTAAGGTCACACTGTCCTAATTTGCAATGCATCACACCATGTACTAAGTTGGTAACAACCGCTTAGAGGAAAGCTTTCGTTATGCAAGGGAGAACATCAAAAAGGGCACTTATCCCAAATGAATGCAGCAATTTAAACCAAAGATGTTTACGCAGGGCAAGAACAAAGTAAGGCAGGAGTTTGGGGTCAACTAGGCTGATGTCTTTGAACACCCATGAGCTCACTGGAAGGTCTGAATATCTGGTGGCCGATGGGCTCGGGGTGTCTCGTCATTGCTTAGAAGCGAAAATTAAATGCTGAGTTATGTGGGTGAAAATATGTATGTTTGCAATTACACATGGAATGTAAACCAAAGATACAATTCTAAGCCCCCTAACCACTAAATGGATCCCTCCTCTCAGCCAAGGGCATTCCAAAGTTAACCTGAAACACTAGTTCAGGCTGTGATGGAAATGAGTGGGTGGACATGCCTCCATGGAAGGAATTCAGACACAACTGACCAGCATGAACATTCAAACAGAGACCTTAAGTCTAACAAAACAGACTCTTTGTAGCAATAAGATGCTGATATGACAGCAGGCCCTGAAAGCAATAGAAATACTTTACCCCAAAATATATTTCTTTGATATATTTTGAAATGGCCCTGCAAAGCTGTCTCTTGTGGGGAAAATCTACATTTTATAGAGAATCCTCTTCTCTTTCTGGGTATTTTTTCTGATCTAGGAGAGAATTAACTAAGTCTGGCACCTTTTTAAGTCTAATAGGAAACCATTTACAAGCTATTCTCTCGGAAGCCTGCTACCTGGAGACTTTATCTGCAAAATAAGAACCTTGGTCTCCTTCACCCCTTATTTTAAACCAAACACACCCTCCTATTGACTCTGGGTCTTTAGATAAACTCTTTCAACTCATTACCAATCAGAAAAATCTTTGAATTCACCTATGACCTGGGAGCCCGCCCATCTTGAGTTGTCCTCCCTTTCCAGACCAAACGAATGTATATCTTACATGTATTGGTTGATGTCTTATGTCTCCCTAAAACATATAAAAGCAAGCTGCAGCCCAACCACCTTGGACACATGTCATCAGGACCTCCTGAGGCTGTGTCACAGGCACGTCCTTAACCTTGACAAAATAAACTTCTGCATTGATTGAACCTGTGTCAGATACTTTTTGGCTTACAGTCATTTATATAAATAATAAAACCAAGAGGATGAAAAAGACTCTCAAAACTAAGCTAAATTCTTCACCTAAAATAAATAATATAGACATTTATTTATGCAAGATTTTAGCAGTAGTGTCATCTTCATATGTAGACAGCAAGTTACTTCATGGTGGAAGATAAGATGTTTAGCCTGAGGGAATTTTCTAAGCAAAGAGAATTACCACTTAAAAAGGAAACATCTTAAAGCAAATTTTAACCATTTTGCATGGAAATACTATTCACTTACTTTATGTCTGTAAACATCATTTAATGTTGTCATGAAAATTGTGTTAATAACATTTCATTATGAAAATAATGAAAATCTTATCACAGTAGTGAAATCATTATGAAAATAATGAAAATCCATTTTTTTTCCGCAAGTTAAGTATTCATACTTTGTAATCATACTGACCCGAGTATGTTCTGTCATTGGCTTAAAATGTGGGTTTTCCACATTGGTAAAAATTTGCTAGGCCACCTGTGTGTGGTTTGTGGCTCTGAGTACACTGTGGCGCCCCCTTTGAGAGCAGCATGTTAGCTGCCATGAGGCTCCAGACTTAGTCAAAAATTGCTTTCAGTAAGACAGGTGGTCATGTCTCTAGAGGGTGTGACCATTTCTCCTTCTCAGTATAAAATAGAGTGGTCAGACTGTTCTACGCAGATGCTGAGTGCCACAGGATGCTAAGGGAATGGTGCAAGTGCTGTGGATGCTTTTACAGAAACTGAGAGACTGCTTACTATTTTAAGGCCGCCTAAGTGATTGCACAGTAATTATTGCCAAGTTGCATATGGAGACTTTTAAATTCTTTAATTGTGTCACCACAAATTGTAACGTCATTTATGTTGACACAAAATTTGGGTAGCAATTGTTAAAATAATTGAGAGGCCATTAGGCTGAGATGGCCTCAGAGCCCTTTGTTTCCTAGGTGAACAAATCCAGCCAAGCCCAATTCAACATAAACAGTTAAACAAACAAACAAAAAACCTTTACCAGTCAGAAACCACCAACAAGCCCAGGGATTTTCCAGTAGATCATATTCAATTAAGACAAATACGTAGCTGTAGCCAATCAAGCAATTGCTTTGCTTTGCTTGCATGTTCCGCCTATAAAACCCCACACCTCTTGCTGCTACAGTGAAATTCTCTGAACCTCTTCAGGCTTTGAATGCTGTCCAGTTCATGAATCCTTTAATTTCAAATAAACTCTGTTGAATTAATTTGTCTTAAATTTGCCTTTTAATACAACTCTCTCCTTTATTTTCTGTGGGTTGGAAAAACAGAGTAATAATTTTGTTAGAACTGTGTGCAAAGTAAGTATGTGTATGCCATGAGTGAAGCAAAGAGAGGGCTTACTTCTTTTTAAATGTGCTTTCCTACCAGGGCATGAAAAATACTTTAAAAAGCATTTTTATTTACTTCTGGGTCCTTTACTGCACTCCAAAAAGCTGAGTTTGCCTGACAGTACATATTAGATAAGAGAGATGTTAGGAAAATTGACTTCAGCAATTTTACATCTTGCCTCACACAAAAGGCTTTGATGCACCAAATTTCCACAATGTAAGACCCTTGCAAAATAAAAAAAAAAGTCACAATAGGAAAATCTCAAACATGCTACAGAGACAGATTTAAAAAGTTACTTGGCATAGTCAAATAAAGTAAATGGTATACTGTCTCATTTCAATTTCAACTATAAGTTGCTAAGAAACTTTTGTTTCTAAATTTGCCATATATACATTGCTGAAACTACATCCTAAAGGGACTGCCTTCCTAAATTGAGGATATCAGTATTTATCACAGCTCTTCCCAGCATGGAGGCTTTAACAACAACAAATACCAAAATAAATGTATTATGCCAGACAATCAGGAGGCTCTGCTCTCACTGAATTCTGAATAAGAGACAGATAATACTGTTCTAATTCTCCAACATGTGCTTCTGCCAATTTAAAACTTTTCTTCTTTGAAACAAATAGCTGTTTTTAGTAAGAGGTCAGTGTACTTTAAAGAGTTAAGAAGGTTTTGCATTGCCTATTTCCGTTATCTTGAGGTCTCCAGATTTGTAAATATCTCCTCATTCATTTTCCAAAAGGCCCATAAAGCTGGTTTGGAGAAAGTATGAGTGTGATTTTTTTCTCAGGTAAAAAAAAAAGTGACCCCATGTCAGTAATCTAAACATTACTCGATTTTTTTTGAAGTCAGACCAAATTTCTGTCTTCAGAAAATGTTTCTTTTTTCTCCCACTTGTCTTCTTCAACTTTTGAACAAATACTTTCAAAATATCTTGGTGGCATGACTACTATAGAAAGAAACCAGTGTCATAAATGGAGTGATCTGGGCTAAACTTTATCTGTCCTGGGAATCTTTTACATGATTCATTTAGAGACTACTCCCACCCCTTGGTCTCTCTTCCCTTGGATTTCTGAGAGCTTAGGAACTCCCACTCTGAGATACTCTGTGTTCTCTCCTCACGTGGAGTGTATCTGCTACTTTGAAATCAACATCCCTACCAGACACGTGTCACATTTAAGTTCACGCACAGGACCATGTCCTGGAATGATAAGGCTTTCTGCTGCTGTTCTACCCTGAGGGCATTCCGCAGGCATCTTAGGAACTCAATCTTGAAGGCTCAAGCTAAGCAAGTGAGTTCAGCTTGTACTCATCACCCAGAATTCTCTAGTAGTCACTTTTACCTCCAACTTCCCACTCTCTCGCCTCCAACTAAAGGGTTCCCAAGGTCAGTTCTGGCTTAGCTACACTGTTCATCTTCCACCTCCTTGTCATGCCTGCAGCAAGCCGAATTTCTGTTCTCTGAGAGGCTGACCCAGAGCTCCTCCTGGGTGACCAAGCTCGCTTCTCCCTGGGGACCAAAGGGCAGCATCATCGGCCAAAGACAAAAAGAAACCCTGGGGAAGACATCCTCCCTTACTTTCCTGCCTGCTAGGGTGGGGGCCGAGGCAAAACTTGCTCCTACTTTTCTACTTTGCCCTTCACATTAACAACAATCTGAAGGGCATTAAGGTTTAATGTGTTCTCTGCGGATTCAAACGAGTTCCTAAAATTAAGTACTACACTCTATTACTTATTAATCACATCTGATTCAGAAGTTTTTCTTCACGTACTTCCTCATTTTCTGGACTTTGAACTTCCCTCTCATGTTAGAGCCAAGCAGCTGTAGCAAACTAGCCATTATTTTTTCCTGCATTGCATAAAATAGAATAACACTCTCCAAGTGTAATCCAGCTTCTGTGATTTATATTGATGAGCATCTCAGGACTCTGCTCCACACCAAGGCTTGTGACCATCGGAAATGTTGCAGATCCAGTTATGGCAGGATGCATGCCTCTATTCTCCAAGGATTCTCTATTCTACCCTTAACCAATGATCTGGCCTCATGACAGCAGTCTTCTATTGCAGGGACATGGTCAGCAGGGAGGAAATATGCTTACGGGGCAGCACACTTGGATTCCTCTAAAAATCATATACTATCCCTCTAAAATCACCTATATTTTTCCATCTCCCTGTCCTCTAATCAGTAAGATATTTAAGCATGTGAACCCCTATTGAGATATTGGACAATCACTCTGTAATTCTTTCTGTGTGCATGGTAGTTAATAAATGTGTATGCCTTTTCTCATTAATCTGCCTTTTTGTGAGTTGATTTTTCAGCAAATCTTCCGAAGGGTAAGGGGATGCTTTCCCTTTGCCCTGCAGTTGGTAATAATTTACTCATGGCAGCACATGGTACAGAAGGTAGAAGGTTACTGAGCGAGTGACCCACTGTCAGGAGACTGGCCCGCGATCAAAGTGCTTGGCTGGCTCATCAGAGGGCGCTGATTTTGCACTGATTTTTACCAGCCCCTCAACCACCAACTCCTGGGCAGCCACCCATGGGAGGTAAGGCTCCATTGCGGGGGTCAGTGGACATTCATTATCACACAGGGGCTTTCTCATTTTCTTTTCTAAAATCCTTAATATAATAGTATCCTGTGTACGTCATCTAAATGTGACCTTTATGTTTTCTATGAAGGACTATATATATATATATACGTATATATATATATATATATACACACATATATATATATATACATATGTATATATATACATACATATATATATGTATATACACACACATATGTATATATATTCTACATAGAGGCACACTTCTGATATATGAAAGCATAAGATTACAACCAGCTGTGATTTTTATTTATTTTAGCTTCTAAATTTAAAATTCTCAGATTAATGTAACATAATCTGTTCATTTAGGGATTCGTGTTTAAGTTCTATGCTTTAGTGCTAGGTGGCTGCAAATCACAATGTACTTTCAAAACAAAGTATCTTAACCTTTTAATAAATCCTTTTCATAACCTGTTCAATTCAAAAAAATGTTTATAAACATGTTAGACATCTGACACCATTCTATCGCAAGAGGGTAGAAACATTTATTGCAGCAGAATACTATGGTTATTCACTCTCAAGTTTATTATTCCCCTTATTTTATTGTAGCAACTCTGGATTCTTTAGTATAAAGAGAAATCAAAAGAAACAAAATATCTATAGTCTTAGTTTCAGAACTACACTAGGATCTGGTGACCTAAACCATATGTACAGAATATAAACATATTTATACTTTATATGTACATAGTTAATGGTTACCTATGCATTATAAATAGTAAGTTTAACTTAGATTCTACAAAAATAATCATTTTGGGTGGGTACATGCAAACCAGTACACATAAACCTATTTATAAAACACATCTCTATGCTTTTTTTTTTTGCTTCTAAATATAAATTTTGCTATTTAGCCATCAGCTAAATGATCTAAATGCAAACCCCAAAGTTTCCAGTTAAAAGTATAAAATCTGCTTCTAACCACAGCAGCATACTGCTTCAAGTATTCTCCTCCTATGTAAGGTCGAGATAATTTTGTCACATATGAATTTTAGGTGGACATCTCATTTCCTCACATATTAGACATCCTGCTGGGGTCACAGCTTCTTTGTTCCATTTGTCTTTTTTTGTTGTTTTTTAATAAGACATTGCAAACAGTAGCTATTTCTTAAAGTGACATAATTTTCGCTTTTGCATTCTGATAAAAATGAACATACTTAAGCCTCTTCCTTGCACCCTGACCCTGGTGCTCTAGCATAATGCAACAAATCCTACGCTCAATGGTTTGCAGGGCCATCCACGCAGGCAGATGACTGGGTGGCCACAAAAGGCTCATTTTGCTTCTGGTCCTCTTTCATGCCAGCTGCCTGGTCTGTGATCGAGGAGAAGGACAGTTGGTCATGCTCTATGATGTGCACCTGATCCTCGTCCTTGTCCTTCTTCACATAGAACATTTTTCTGAATTTTTTCAGCTCATGGAGTTCACAGAAGGTTTCCAGAACTACCAACATGGCAATAAGGCCAAGTAGCAGGTAACCTGTGTGAGAAACAGGACACTGTCTTAGTGTGATCTCAACATGGATAAATCAAGTAGCGAGTGATTTACCTCCCCACCTCATGCCAACACAGTGTTTGTTAAGGAATAAACTCATTGCCAGTTTCTTAATTTTTAGAAGTGTTTTTAAGTTCATGGTTCAAAGAGGAACTACCCATTATTAAAGAGTGAAAGACAATGAAGAATGATTTAACCTCCTATGAACTTGGATTAGTTAGAATCACAGGCTGCAATTTTTGAGAAAAAAAAAATACTTGGGGCTGATGTGGCATTATTAAAGACACATAACATACTGCACTTACCCAAGTGTGATATTTTATGCAAGGAGGGTTTGCCACCTCTGCTTTATAATCAGTGGCTCACAAAAAGCCAGTGATGTTTTAGAAAAGTTTTTGTTTTATCATGGGGTGCTCGGAAGATTTTAAGCACTCAATACTCTTACAATTTCTATTATAGAATAAGAGTTTATAATAGAAATTGCAGTCTTAAATGCTATGGTTTGGCTGTGTCCCCACCCAAATCTCATCTTGAATTCCCATGTGTTGTTGGAGGGACCTGGTGGGAGGTAGTTGAATCATGGGGGTAAGTCTTTCCCCTGCTGTTCTCATGATAGTGAATAAGTCTCACGAGATCTGATGGTTTTAAAAAGAGGACTTCCCCTGCACACATTCTCTCTCTCTTTGCCTGCTGCCATCCATGTAAGATGTGACTTCCTCCTCCTTGCCTTCCACCATGATTGTGAGGCTTCCCTAGCCACATGGAACTGTAAGTCCAATTAAACCTCTTTCTTTTGTAAATTGTCCAGTCTCGGGTATGTCTTTATCAGCAGTGTGAAAACAGACTAATACACTAAACTAAATCAAAAATTTAAGAATGTATGTTGATATTAAATAGGTCCTTGTGCATGGCTATCTACACTTGCACCTAAATCCAGCAACAAAGCCAAGCTCTTCATTATCTCTCAGTTGTTTTTGGACATGTGGACTATTCACTGGCCAACATTACCAGTTTGTTACTGGGAAAATGAAGGATAACTGTTGACTCAAGTAAAATGTATTGCTTGGAATCTGTGATGGGAAATGGTGATTTAAAATTCCTTCCATCATTTTAAAAATGAGTTTTCAGAAAAAAAAATCATAAAAAGGAACAGAAATGTGAAGATGAAAACTCCAAGAATAACAAAAATTCTGATTTTATGTCCCAGTGGTAAAACATTTGAGAAGGATTTTCGAAAATGTATGAAGTAGGGAAGCTAAAATTGGCAGCATAACAGGAATAAGGAAACTAATTAACCACAGAATACAAAGTTTTAGTATCTTCAGAATCTGACTATAGGTTTTGAAAACAATATCGTGCATTCAGTGTGCTCTCCTGTACTTTAAAAATAGTAATGACATTGTTAGACTAATTGATGGATCTCTGTGTCTTTTCCTTTATTATTCTTATTACTATTTTTTGAGACAGAGCCTCATTCTGTCACCTAAGCTGAAGTACAGTGGCATGATGTTGGCTTACTGCAACCTCCGCCTCCCAGGTTCAAGTGATTTTCAGCTAATTTTTGTATTTTTAGTAGAGATGGTGTTTCACCATATTGGCCAGGTTGGTCTCGAACTCCTGGCCTTAGTGATCTGCCTGCCTTCGTCTCCCAAAGTACTATGATTACAGGCATGAGCCACCGTGCCCAGCCTCCTTTATAATTATTTTGTCAAACTCTTGAATGCTCACAAAAATATCCATGGGGTTTCAGACAAAAACAGGGGTATTTTATCCTGCCCACATCTAATATATCTTTGGAATATTCATTTGTTAGATACTCAGGTTCTTGATGCTCAAAACATAAACTAATTCTATGTAGATTGCTTTTTAAAAAATGATCCACATTGTAAGAAGTGATAAAATGTTATGCAAGGATTTAGTATTATATGAAACACTGAAGAAGTTAAGTGGTTGGGCAAAATTTATGAGAAGACAATTTATATAAGAGAAAATTATTGTAGCTAGCAAACATAATTACAGAAACATTCTACTTTCCAAGTCACAGAATAAAATAAAATAAAACAAAACAATCACCTATAATATGAAAAGAAAGTTAAGATAATGTTTATTTGGCTATCAAACTCACATACACAAAAAACATCTCTAATGCTACTGGCCATCACCACCCCAGGAGTGCTGAAACTGTCACACTCAGATAATGCTGGTGACGTGTCAACTCATAACAACATTTGGAAAGCACCAGGTCATTATGTTCTATGAGTCACAAAAAGGCGTATTCACTTTGCACCAGCAATCTCATTTCTTGGAAGAATATCAGAGGAGGAAATGTGTATATATACAAAAATATTCTTGGCCAGGTGGGGTGGCTCACGCCTGTAATCCCAGCACTTTGGTAGGCTGAGGCGGGCAGATCACGAAGTCAGGAGTTCGTGACTAGCCTGGCCAACATGGTGAAACCCTGTCTCTACTAAAAATACAAAAAATTAGCCGGATGTGGTGGCAGGTGCCTATAATCCCAGCTATTTGGGAGGCTGAGGCAGGAGAATCGCTTGAACCCGGGAGGTGGAGGTTGCAGTGAGCTGAGATCGTGCCATTGCACTCCAGCCTAGGCAATAAGAATGAAACTCCATCTCAAAAAAAAAAAATTCTCTACAATGTCATTTATAATACCCCTGAATTAGAAGAAAGCTAAATAATGAGCAATAGAGGCATGATTGGATTATGGTTTTGCCACCTGGTGAATACCATATGGGCTCTAAAAATAATACCTATGGTAGCTACAGGAAATATAAAATTATCCTAAGTAACCATTTGGCAAAAAAAAGTCTGTCGAACTTGTATGGTAGCCAGGCACTGTTCAAAGCATTAGGGATTTATGAGTAACGTCTGTTTTGGCTGAGCCCATGGTTTAAAGGAAATGTCAAAATACACACAATTCAACTAAGCATTTTGTAGGGTTAAGAATTACAAGACAGGGCCAAGACAGAGCATCTGGCTGCTTGAGTATCTACTATGATTCGCTAGAAAACGTGACCTGAGCCAAGTCGTAAATTGAAAAATTCTTAAGAAGGCAAGACAGAAATGAAAACAGTAGGTACATTATAACTGCAACTGTGTGCATGCTGAAAAGGACAGGAGGGCTCACACAGAAATGAACAGTTTCTTGAAAATGGATGGTTAAGTTTTCTATGATATTACATTGAATTTAAAATGAAAACTGTTAAAAAATTATAAATCCCTGACCATCTGAATTTGAATGCCCATTTTATTTTCCACACACAAAATTCTGGAAACAGTTAATAGAGGCGAACTTCTTCTAAAAAGAACCAGATGGACAAATGAGGTAAGCAGCTCTTTTAAGACTTTTCTGGTAAATTAAAGAGCATGATTGATAACACGCTCTATCCGAGGCCTAGTTTTCTTGGCCTTAAAATATTTAATAAAGTAGAGCAATCTTTTTTTTTAATTAACAGTTGGTTATCAAGTACATTCTGTATGATGTATTTTTTTTTTTTTTTTTTTTTTTGAGACGGAGTCTCGCTCTGTCGCCCAGGCTGGAGTGCAGTGGCGCGATCTCGGCTCACTGCAAGCTCCGCCTCCCGGGTTCACGCCATTCTCCTGCCTCAGCCTCCCGAGTAGCTGGGACTACAGGCGCCCGCTACCACGCCCGGCTAATTTTTTGTATTTTTAGTACAGACGGGGTTTCACCGTGTTAGCCAGGATGGTCTCGATCTCCTGACCTCGTGATCCGCCCGCCTCGGCCTCCCAAAGTGCTGGGATTACAGGCGTGAGCCACCGCGCCCGGCCTGTATGATGTATTTTTACACTGTCATTTATAACGCCTACATTATTAGTAAGAAATTCGTCTGTAATTTTAAGGTGTTGTGAAAAATATCTCAGTAATAAGATTTTTGCATAAACAGTTTTGAAGGAAACCATAAAATGAAATGGTTGAGAAGGTGGTAAATTCGGAAAACTTCTCAATGAGAAGAAAGCAATCAGTGCTTTTATGAATGACCCCTCATTGAGAGGTGAAGTGGAGCTTGCAATGGCAAAATAGAGACAGAAGCCTGTAAGCCCAGCTACTTGGAAGGCTGATGCAGAGAATCCCTTGAACCCGGAAGGCGGAGGTTGCAGTGAGCCAAGATCGCACCACTGCACTCCAGCCTGGGCAACAGAGTGAGAGCTGGGCTCAAAATAAATAAATAAATAAATAAATAAAATAAAGGAGACAGAAGGAGCAGCCAGGGAGCTGTAATACTCACACGTGATCCCAATCTTATAGAGCTCTCTGAATTTTTGATTGTAGCCTTCCCCAGGCACATAATCCCCCAGGCCAATGGTGCTCAGGGAAATAAAACAAAAATAAAAGGATTCCAGGAAGTTCCAGTCATCCTCCAGGACTGAGAAGACAGCGGCCGGGATGAAGAAGAAGCAGGACACAGTGACAAACCCAAGGAGCACGGCATGGACGATGGCCACCACCTGCTTGGAGAAGCCCCAGCGGATGTGGAAGTAGAGGACCGGCCTGCGGGTGACGTGCACGGTGATGCGCTGGACCACAGCCGTCAGGAACAGGAGGGTGAAGGGAATGCCAATGACGGAGTAGATGATGCAGAAGGCCTTACCTCCATCTGACAAGGGCACGGTGTGGCCATAACCTGCAAGGAGAACAAGGTCACTGAGGCGAAGAGGAAGAGACAAAGTGGCAAACACGTTTTTAAACAATATATGCCTATCATCTGCCCTTATTCCCCTCAAACCAAAGAGAACAGCGA
This sequence comes from Homo sapiens, assembly GCF_000001405.40. Lineage (NCBI taxonomy): Eukaryota > Metazoa > Chordata > Mammalia > Primates > Hominidae > Homo > Homo sapiens. Next base: position 233,666,477 of record NC_000001.11, on the reverse strand, counting down.
GACTTCAGGTCTGCCACTTTAGGGGCTCTAGTATAATTGTCATGTCCCAGTAAAATTCAACAGTGGTCACCATAAGTTTGAAAGTCCACCATTCTTTGTAAAATCCAACCAGCAATTCCAACACATCAGGGTCTCTGGTCTTGAATTCACTATCAGGCTCAAACACAAGTTCTGTGTACTAAGAAGCTAAGGCCCACACCCATCTTAGACCATCAGGAAAAACTCATCCGAGGCTACCCACTTCACCAGGGCCAGTCTATCCCCTCCACCCCTTCAGTTCACTTTCCCCAAGCATCCTCATTAGTGTGTAAACCTCAGTCTACACTCACCTCCCAAACTACTCAGAATGTTCTAACAGGAATGACTGACAAATAAAGGTGTGTGAATAGAACCAAGATAATATGAGTCCAGTAAGAGGGTGGAGTAGAATCAATGAAGATAGAGATATCAAAAAGCGGAAGAAAAATGAAGATTAAAGCATGCCATGTCACAGGATCAAGCACTTGTATACAGCACCCTTGACATGAGTAACTCCATCTTAGAAAAAGACTCCATCTTACATTTCATAGGGCACTTTGCCAACGTGGACAAGATGTTATGCTTAATAAATAAAGTCTGCATCCAACCAGATAAGGGCAAAAACAAGCACATTCTGTCACTATCAGTCCTCGCCAGAGGACTCTGTGGCCATAAAAAGAGCAGGACATTGGTAGCTCAAAACGGCCATCTCAACTGACACTGCCTTGCTGTCAACTGTGATTAGCACTTGGCATTTGCCGGGAAGGCTCTGCCCCCACTGAAGACTCTTTGTTGCAAAACCTGTGGACCACTTGCCTGGCCCCGACCAGGGGATTCTTTGGGTCTTTGTTGCTCTCCCAGTCTCCCTTGACTGGTTTGTTAACCCTTCTTCTTGTCCCTTTTCTCTTGATGTTATATGTTACTTTGTTTGTTGTGAAATGTTTGATCTGTAACACTTATCTATTGATTAAGTATACTATTATGTATGGCTTGCAATACAATTGACTTGTGAAGTGGCTTGTGTGCCTGCAGCTCTGACTACCGAGTGAACAGAAGGTACTAGGGAGAATTCCCTCCTTGGAATTCCATGCAGCTCCTGGCTTTTGTGACTGAAATAGCATCAGTAAAAGTGTGACACTATGGAAAGGCACAAATGTGCATGGACGTGGTTATCTCTTACTCTGTACCGCTCATGAGAATACTTCTTGTAAAATATTTTGCCCAGTTATCTGGTTAAATGGCACATTCATAAACTGACACATTTCCCCCACCCCCCGGTCATTTCTGTATTTTCAAAGATGTCATAAATTCCACAAACATTGAAAAAATTACATTAGGACCAGTGGTTGAAACACATGTCTGTTTTACTTTCTACCTGGTTGAAGTTTTTCCCAAATCTAGCTAATCAGGGGACTCTTCATCCAACCAACGCCAACAGAGAACCCAGCTGGGCATGGGGCCTGGTGGCTATTTTTAAAATCTCATGAGCACTTCATCTTAAAAGAACTAACATGTCTGAACAAGTCAATTCAGGAAAAAGCCAGCTAAATACATTTTTTTTAAATGAAATTGGATTCTGAGAAAAATCCACACAGGTGATTATAATTGAAAAGTAGTTTCAAAATCTGATCTCTAAAATACACTCAGCTTAAAAATAAACAAACTCCTTAGTTGCAAATCCCCCAAATTCTCTGCCTTATACTTAAGGCTTATACAAGTGTGTGTGGTTATTAAAAAGCTTCCTTGATTATTCCCATGTACGGCCTCACCACGGCAGAGGCAGGGTTCTTGACCCACTGTCCCAGAAGGTACACAGTTTATGAATGAACTACGGCAAGGCCCAGGAATCCTCTGAGATTGTACATCCACTTTCCCATGGAGAGATTCCAGGGCTTTGATTCTCTCAAGGGGTACGCGTCCTCAAATGGTTAAGAACTACTCTTGTTCTGAGTGTTGGCTCCTGAATCCATCTGGTCCCTGCACACCCAACTGCTCCTGGAATGCGGTGACTAATTTTGGGCATCATATTGAAAGAGGGAAATGGGCAAGTTGGAGAGTGCCTTGAGAATAACATGAAGGATGGTGCCAAATAATGTTCATGCTACATATGGAAGCAGGAGCCTTTGAATGTTTCATTTTGAGAAAAAAAAATATGTGAAGGAAGAATGAGACTCGTTCTGAGGAAGGCAGCTGATATTACAGAACCACCTGAACTAATGGGAGCTACAACTTCAGCGAGGCACCAAGGAGGGATGATCCGATGATTGCAGAGATCTGGAAATAGAATCTGAAAAATGGAACTTTATTTAACCATAAAAAAGCCAACTGAAGGCCGGGCACGGTGGCTCACCCCTATAATCCCAGGACTTTGGGAGGGCGAGGCGGGCGGATCACGAGGTCAGGAGTTTGAGACTAGCCTGGCCAACATGGTGAAACCCCATCTCTACTAAAAATACAAAAATTAGCCGGGCATGGTAGCGGGCACCTGTAATCCCAGCTACTTGGGAGGCTGAGACAGGAGAATTGTTTGAACCCGTGAGGCGGAGCTTGCAGTGAGCTGAGATCGCGCCATTGCACTCCAGCCTGGGTGACACAGCGAGACTCTGTCCCCACCCCCCCGCAAAAAAAAAGCCAACTGAAAAGCGATTCGCAAATGTAGTTACCAGCTTGTGACTGAAAGTGTTAGGAGATATTAACAACAGTGCTCACATGACCAGAAGGTCAAACAGAAACTGCAAGAGATGAATTTAGCTTTGGCACTGATTTTGTCGAGAAAACATAAGATCAGCTGAGTCAGTTGGACTCCACGAAGGCCTTTAAGTCTATGATTTTATTACTTTTTTTGGTAGCCTTTTTATAAATTTTTATAAATCAGCTTTACTAAAACTGTAACACACAATCCAAATTTTCCATACCATCTGTTGCAATAAATTACATAATTTAGGTTCTAGTAGAGAAAAAAAAGTAAACAAACTTCTAGTTTAAAAATATTTTAGCTTAGGAATTTTCTCTCAAATTATGATAGCTCTTTTCATTAGAATGTTAACTAAATCTCATTTACTAAAATGTTATCTCCAAGCAATGAAGATAATCATTATAAGACTCTAAGACCTCTCTCTGCAGTAATGGCATTTTTATGCTAGTACTGTAAAAATATTATATATTCCCACTAAGAGATTAAAAATCACCACCACGCAGATCCTTACTGAAAGTAATTTTCCTCTCCTGATGTGTACATAAATAATTTTTTGGTAATGGAAAGTAAAATATAAAATTTACATCTCATTTGCATTCCATACACTTAGCACAGGCCACATTGAGTAAACCACCCTCTGCACCAACTACAACACAGCGCTTCGTTTGCAGTAGACGGCTTAATGCATCTGACGGAAACTTTCAGTCCTATTGAATTTTAATGAAGTCGTGAATAATTTACTCAAGTCCAGTCAATTGAACCTTCAGATAGATCATGAAGCAAAATTCATATTTTTAAATCTTATAATCATATTTAACTCCATTACAAACCACGAAGAATTTAGCAAAATGTTAATAGACCAGGCTTACTTGGGTTACATTTTTTTAAGGCCAGTCATCACATAATTTTTGGAACCAAAAGATTGAACATAACAAAGACTGCTGAAAAAACTGACCTCAAAATTAGTTATAATCCTGAGGCAAAGCTCTCACTCACTAATGTTCTTGTATTCTAGCCTCCTACTCCACAACTGCTGGGTTTCCTGTTATGAGCTTGCATCTGTGAGGCATGTATGAGTATACGTATAATGGGTGGTTGTAATGATGACAGTCCCCTACTAAATTTGCCTTCCCATCTGGCTACTCTAATTACAACAGCCCTGACACTATGCTGGCTAATATCCAATCAGGGGCTATGCTTCGCTAGATTTTTCTGGTATTTAAATGCTCCTTAATGAGGGCCAAGACAGAGAACCTTTCTGGGCTCCTATAGAGTACATCAGAGCAAGTCACTGATATGCAACTTCTTCACATACACCAGATGCTTTTGAGAAAGGTGTAGCTTACAATGGCCCCACGTTGTGACCCTGAGTCTGTAACAGTATCACTTATTTGCATTATTTAGTATGATATGGAACAATGTATACATTCTCCATTAAGTTAGCTTGATACATGCAAAAAGAAGAAGAAGAGGAAGAGGAGGAGGAGGAGGAGAAGAAGAAGAAGAAGAAGAAGAAGAAGAAGAAGGAGAAGAAGAAGAAGCAGCAGCAGCAGCTACGAAAGAAGAACCTCAGCCTCTCCACCTCAGCAGAGATACTGAAATCAGTCGCAATGTTTCCCCTTCTGTAAAACAGAATTTACTTTGCAGTCCTCGACTTCAGCTTATTAATTATCTCTTTCCCGCTGGACTGTGTGGCCCTGGAGGTAGACCACATCCTCTCCTACTTTAAATTTCTCCAGGATCCCCAAACACAGTGCTGTCCAATCTACAGTGAACCGTAACACCGGTGCTGTTAGTGACTTCAATGTCACATGGGTCAGAAACTCACTGTATGGTGAAACTCATTGCACGGTGATGAATAAGCTTCAGGTCAGGTTGACTTTTTCTGTGATTTTCATTTTGCACTTTGCTGGAAATAAGTTGTTTCATATTTTTAAAAAGTTAACTTCAAGATATCTTGCATACAACATGTCTTCATAATTCCCTTTTTTGACAGCCATACTTTTCATGGATAAACTCCGTTCATCCTTCCCATCCATGCCATGCACACAACAAGGAATGTACATCTTCCGTTATTTTGCTTATGTTATAAAAAGAAGTTTGCCAGAGAGAGAAGGCTCAAGGGAGCTCTAAATAGACTGAAGAGAAATGCTGACAGAATGAAAGTGGGCTACAGTCAATACACGCGACCAAGGAGGCACAGATGGTAAGAGGTCACAGAGGTAACAAGTCATGGCAGGTGCAAGTGGTCTAGGATTTTCTTGGGATCACTTTTTACTGCCTCATTCATTTAATACTTTTCTAAACACTTATTGTTGTTTCTACTCATTCATGAATCGTTTCTTGCTAACAAGCAAAGACAGAGAGGCAATGGCATTCCTAGTTGGGACATGGCATCAATTCTTTACCTTATAGTGGACATCTGAGAGAGGGACTAAATTAATACACCACACTTAAAAGCTAGGGGAGCCAGCAAACAACTCAAGTTCCACAGATGAGAACCTTGCACTTTTTGCAATGAAGTTTCCACTAAAAATGGCAGCGCAGTGAAAGAACGATTAGAAATAATAACTTAGGCAAGGGGAACTCATCATGCATCCATCAGTCTGAGGAGGTAGGTTCTGGAAAGGAGGGAAACGGGCTCAAAACACTCAATAAAAACAGCCACACCTAGCTGCTTGCCATATGTGTATAAGCTGTAGTGTATGCAGAATAATTGTGAACCTTCATAACAATTTCCAAATCCTAGAGTTGTTATTTCTACTCTATAAATAAAAAGACTGAGTATTTGAGAGTTTAGACAATTTGCTCAAAGTCATACAAATAACAAGTTGAGCCCATAATCTTTGCACTCTACCAATCCAGATATATTATATGATACAAAGGACACGGATGCATCAAAAGTCAACTCAAGTCCTAACATTATTTCTTAGGTGCTCTCAGTGAGAGGGTGGTGTTACTCGCTACCTGCAAAAGAAGAACAATGATGTCTTTCCTGTGGTTCCGTGAAGCTGATTCTAAGATAGTGAGACTGAAATGAGAGGACAGGAGAGCGCAAAAACAACGTTTAGTAATGAACAAAGGACCGTGCAACTCACACACAGAACTGGTTGGTGGAAGGTGGAGCCTAGGGTAACTCTACAGATATCAGAAGGTGGGTCAGCAAAACATCTATCAAGGGTCCGAGAACGTAGGCATAACCTACATGCCTTTCATATTCTTGAAATAGAGTTTGGAGCCACATAGATGAACTTCTGTGGTAAATAGTAAGGTCATCAATGAAGACTGTCCCTAAATTGTGACAAACAAACATGAAACATAACAAATTAGTGGTGATCTTCAAAAGTAGAGTTTCTGTGGCAATAATTAATATCAGTGATATAAGCATAAACTAAATTCCAATAAAATACTTATCTTCCTATTTAACTATTTAATGTAAACGATAACTCTCAAGGAATCCCTGTTTATAAATAAATATCTAATTGCAGAGATACCAGCTAAGTAAGATAGGATGTCCAACAGCCCAAAGAATGAGTTATATTCTAAAGACATTAACGTAAATATCAGGTAAAAGTAGAAATCAAAATTGTACATTATGATTATAAATTACTCAATATATAAGTATATTTTCATTGTAAAATATTCAAACAACACTGATGCAGCAAATGTCCCCTTGACTACTCATGTCCTCTTCAATTCTAGTTCTCTCCAGAGGTTACTGTTAGGAGTTTTCTTTTAACAGTATATCCTGGAGATGGCTCCATTCTGAAACATGAAAATGGCACTCATCTGGCTGCAGTGTGCAGTACTGTGTCTTCCAGGTGAGAACCAGCCCCTTGCCCTGATGTAGCTTCCTTTTCCTAAGAAGGTTCTCTTATCATCCTTGGCCTTTCTTCTGGACTTCTCATGTTTGTTTGTGTTTATTGTGTTTGTTTACTTAAATAGGAGCTTGCCGGCAGTGTAGTCAATGTACCACATAACGACGTTTCAGTCAATAATGGGCCACATATATGACAGTGGTCCCATCAGACTATACCAGACCTGAAAAACTCCCATCCCCTAGCAATGTCGTAGCCATGGTAACATCATAAGGCGATGCATTACCCAAGTGTCTGTGGTGATGCTGGTGTAAACAAACCTCCTGCGCTGCTATTTGCATAAAAGTATAGCACATACGATTATAGTGTATGTATATATATTGACAATGATAATAAATGACTGTTACTGGTTTATATAGTTACAATTTTTTACTAATTTTTATCATTATTTTAGATTGTATTCCTTCTACAGGACTTGCCTGAAGCTGGTTTACATTTGACATTTTTTTTAATAAAAAATATTTAAAATAAAAAAAATGTCAAATGTAAACCAGCTTCAGGAAAGTCCTTCAGGAGGAATTCAGAAGAAAGCATTGTTATCATAGGAAATGACAGCTCCATGCGTGTTACTGCCCCTGAAGACCTTCCAGTGGGACAGATGTGCGGGTGGAAGATCCTGACCCTGTGTAGGCCTAGGCTAGTGTGTGTGTTCGTGTCTTAGTTTTTAACAAAAAAAATCTAAAAAGTAAAAAAAAACTGAAAAATTTAAAAATAAAGCTTACCAAATAAGAATATAAAGGAAATACTTTTTCAGCAGTATAACATGTTCGTGTTTTAAGTTAAACGTTATCACAAAAGAATCAAAATTAAAAACATTAAAAAGTTTATAAAGTAAACAAGTGACAAAAGCTAAGATTAATATAATAAATTAAAGAAAGAAAATAAATTGAAGAAAGAAAACAATTTTAAATAACTGAACTTAGCCTAAGTGTCCAGTGTCTAGAAAGTCTACAGTAGTGAACAGTAATCTCCGAGGCCATCACATTCACTCACCACTTACTCACTCACCCAGAGCAACTTCAATTCCTGCAAGCCCCATTCATGCTAAGTGTCTCATACAGGTGTCCCATTTTAAAAAATCTTTTATACTGTATTTTTACTGTATCATTTCTAGGTTTGGATATATTTAGATCTCCAAATACCATGTGTTACACTTGCCTACAGTCTTCAGTACGGTAACATGATATACAAGTTTGTAACCTAGAGCAATATGCTATAGCATTCAGCTTTGTACACTCTACGTTGTTCACACAATGACAAAAACACCTAAGGATGCATTTCTCAGAACGTATCCCTGTCGTTAGGTGACGCTTGACTGTAGTCTCATGTAGTCTCATTTTCTCTCTTGGCATCTAGGAGTTAGCATACAGTCTCTTATATAAGGAACTGTTTTTGTTAGATGATTCTTGCTTAATATGTAGGTTTTTCCTTTTAATCTACCTGCTTATTAATTATGTGTCCAAAATTATGCAATCAAAAAAATCGAATTTTCTAATTTTAAAGTAAGCAATTTGGCCAAATTAAAATTTCTATTATACATGCTTTCTTTTCTAAGCATTAAACATTTTCAGGGTTCATTCTCTATGATTTAAAAACACATATAATTATTTATTTTGCCCCTCAAACTAGTAAATGAATGATATCCAACTCTAATGGATCCCTGTTGTCCCATTTCTGTATGGTTTCTTTTCCCTAACACTGTTTACAATTTAACTTTGAAATGTGTTGAACCTTTCTTAGCTTGAGAATTTAAATTATGATTATTTGTCCTTATTTTTTCATATTTTTAGAACTGTTTTTCCATCCATTTTAAAAATACGAATCCCTGCCATGTCTTTTCACACCACCCTCTGCATACTCTCACAAATGAAGATCATCTCATCAGGCCTTGCTTCCTAAAACTGAAATTTCAAAAGAAACACGTATGTTACATACAATTATTCAAATTCTTTATACTCCTTTTCTCCATTCTCTCTAAGCTGGTGAGTACCTGGTTGACAGTCCAGCTTTTGATCAGTCACCTTCTGCTGTAGGAGGCTAAGTTTGTCAAAGTGATAAAAAAAAAAATTAACACTTTTAAGTTATAACTTAGTAAAATTTGCAGTAAGATATTAAATGCTATAGTAGGACAGCATAGGTAACAGACCAGGCTGTCTTTCTCTCTCTCTCTCTTTCTTTCTTTATTTCTCTTTCTTTCTTTTCTTTCTCTTTCTTTCTTTTCTTTCGTCTTTCCTTTTTCTTTTTTCTTTCTTTTCTTTTCTTTCTTTTTCTCTCTTTCTTTCTTTCTTATTTCTTTGGCTAATCATCATAATTACACAGTTCCTTATGAAAACAAATTCTGTAATAATCTCTTTATCATCTCAGATCCCTGCAGACAATATGGCTTGGCTTGTTCAACGGTACCATCTACTGCACACTGTGATTTGATGTCTTGCTAGGTTACTGCGGGCAGATCATGGTAGCACAGGAACATGACCCACTACTGGATATGGGTAATAACCACATATCCAGCTTTTACCACATATCCAATTTTAATACAGCTTTCCCCCAATTCCAATCAGTCACATTTCGAAAACATAAGAATCCTACCTAAGGCTTTTCCATCCCAAAATTTACTGACACTGCCTTGGCTGCGGGGGTTGTGGATGAAGGGGGACAAAAAGCGATGAGAAAGCAGCTCTCGTGAAAAGGTGGATTTGTCCCCCTCTCACCAAGCTAAATTAAACTCATCCTCACTCATCCTCACTGCCCATCCTCCCAGACACAAACCAAATGGGCTTCTTACTCAGTACTGGCCATCTCTCGGGCAAGATTTCCCTTTAATATTTTCTTACTAAATTACATGAACAGATTAATTAGAAAAGACTTAAAAAACAACAAGCTATCTAATTCTCTGACAGAGTATATTTACAATGTGTTATGACTAGGACCAAAAAAAGTAAATAAAAGAGACTTAAAACGAAGCTTTGGGCTGGGCATGGTGACTCACACCTGTAATCCCAGCACTTTGGGAGACTGAGGTGAGAGGATTGCTTGAGGCCAGGAGCTCAAGATCACCCTAGTCAACATAGTGAGCTCTGTCTATACAAAAACTAAATAAATTAGCTGGGCATGGTGGCATGTGCCAGTAGTCCCAGCTATTCGGGAGGCTGAGGTGGGAGGATCAATTGAGGCTGGGAGGTTGAGGCTGCAGTGAGCCATGATCATGCACCACTGCACTCCAGCCTAGACGACGAGAGACTCTGTCCCAAATTAAATAAATAAATAATAAAGAAATAAATAATTGAAGCTTTGTCACCCTTGTGTGAAAGCTGATCACATGAAATGAGTCATTCTTGTCATACCCAACAAAGAATCAATAAGCCAAGGGGAAAAAGCACTCAGGGTGAAGAACATTGCTCCAAAAAACATAATTTTCTGCAGGCCTGGCAGCTGACACTGCCTGCAGTAACCTGAAACCAGTTTTGTCTAACGACTACTGAGACGACCTGCTGCAACTCTCAGACTGGGTTTACGCACCACCCTCACTTATCAGTTGAAGCCTGCCAGCTCCTCAAAACCTTACTGGTGCCAATGAAACTTCTCAAAGAGCAATATGCAACATTTCTCCTTTTTATAAAACCTCTAACCTTCTCTTTGTTCTTCAGAGAGAGCATTTTCAGTTCACACCGGAGACTCTCTCTTCCAGGTTTGTAAACCAGTATTGCCAGTGAAACTCTCTTTTCTGTTATCTAGCCATCCTGATGGTCCTTTGGATGACACTTGTTTAATCCTGTAACCCATTTGAATGCAGAGGTGTCAACATTACAATTACTGATGGTCTCACAAAACTGTCGTTTCCTTCAGCATCCTTTCCTAGGGACTTGAAATCCACAAAAGTAGAATGCTTTACGATTAACTGAAAATGATGAGAAGCAACCACCAAGCATAAGTTAAAGAGCTGTCCAGTATGCCCTTGGCATTGGAGCCGTTTTTTTTTTTTCCCACTTTACCTCAGTTGCTCCTCATCCAAGGGTATCTTAGTCTGTTCAAGCTGCTACAAAAGAATACCACAGGCTTATAAACAACAGAAATGTATTTCTCACAGTTTTAGTGGCTGGGAAGTCTCTGATCAAGGCACCAGCAGATTCAGTGTCTGGTGAGGGCTGCTTCCTCATAGACTTCTCACTCTAATCTCACAAGGCAGAAGGAGGAAGGAGTCCCTCTTATGTCTCTTTTATAAAGGCACGAGTCTCATTCACGAGGCCTCCACCCTCATAACCTAATCACCTCCCAAAGGCTCTACCTCCTGATACCATCACCTTGAGAGGGTGGGGGTTAGGATTTCAACATATAAATTTGGGAGAGACACAAACACTCAGACCATAACATTCTACCCCTGGCATCCCAAAATTTCATGTCCTTCTCACACGCAAAATGCATTCAGTCCATTCCAATGGTTCCAAAAATCTTAACTCATTCCAGTATCTACTTGAAGGTCTGTAGTCCAAAGTCTCATTTAAACAGCACCTACATCATATATGGGTGAGACGCAAGGTATGATTCATTCTGAAGCAATTTCCCCTCCAGCTGTGAGCCTGTGAAATTAAACAAGTCAAGGGGCTTCCAAAATACAATGGTGGGACAGGCATAGAATAGACATTTCCATTTCAAAAGAAAGAAAAGAATAGAAAGAAAGAAAAGAAGAAAGGATAGGTCCCTAGCAAAGTCCAAAATTTTGTCTGGAGAATAATCTTCTTTGGCTCAATGCTCTGTCCCCCAGGCCCACTAGGGCTGTGGTCCTGCTTTCCCAACCCACGGGCGTGGTGGCCCTCCCCAAAGGTTGCTCTGTGCCCTTGTGGCTCCAAGAGCTAGAATCGTGTCTATGACTCTACAGGTCTGGGGCTGCTGGGGTGGTCCTACCACTCGGCTATCCTGGATGTTGCTCTAGTAAGGGCTCTCTGTGGAGGTCCCATGCTTGCCTGCTCAAGCTTTTGCACATTGGAGCTGTGATGGAGGTGGCAGCCCCAATTACTTCTGAATCACCTTGAGCAACAGGTTCCACTTGGTTGACTAATCTCCTTATCAGATGGTCATTTGGCCGCACCCTTGGTGTTCTTTCCCAATGTGCCTTCTCATTTATTTATTTATTCTTTTTTAAGAGATGGACTCTCACTATGTTACTCAGACAAGTCTCAAACTCCTGGGTTTAAGGGATCCTCCTGCCTCCACTTCTCTAACAGTTAGGACTACAGGCATGAACCACTGTACCCGTTATCTCATTCTTCATAATATGGCTAGGGTGAGAATTTTCCAAATCTTTAAGTGCTGCTTCTCTTTGATTAACAATTCTGTCTTTAAATCTTTTCTCTCTTTTCACATTTTAATGTAGGCTGTCAAGAGAAGCCAAGCCACAACTTTCACACTTTGCCTAGAAATTTCCTTATCCAAATATGTAATTTCAGTGTTCACCGCTCTACCTTCTGCAAAACACTAGAATACAGGCACAATTCAGCCAAGTTCTCTGACGCTTTTTAAAAAAATTTGTTTTCTTTTACTTTAAGTTCTGGGATATATGTGCTGAACGTGCAGGTTTGTTACACAGGTATACATGTGGTTTACTGCATCTATCAACCTGTCATCTAAGTTTTAAGCCCTGCATGCATTAGGTATTTGTCCTGATGCTCTCCCTTCCCTTTCCCCCCCACCCCGATGGCTTTTTCTCCATTGTCCAATAACATGGTCCTCATTTCCCTCTGAGACCTTATCAGACTGGCCTTTATTACCCATATTTCTGCCAACGTTCTGTTCATGATCACTTAGGTATTTTCTAGGAGGATTAAGGCTTTCTTTATAGCTCTCCTCTTTTCTTTCTGAGCCTTCACCAGAATCACCTTTAAAGGTCAATTCACAGCAATGTAGGCTTTTTCTAGTGTGCACCTCCGAACTCTTTCCAGTTTCTACCCATTACCCATTTCCAAAGCCACTTCCACATTCGTTAGAAGCACTCCCACTTCTTGGTATCAATCTTTATATTTGTCAGGACTCTCTGAAGAAACAGAAGCAATAGGATATATATAGATATATAAGAAGAGATTTATTATGGGAATTGGCTTATCCAATTACGGAAGCCAGCAAGTCCCTTGGCATGCCGTCTGCAAGCAGAAGAACCAGGAAAGCCGGTGGTACCATTCTGCCCAAGTTTGAAGGCCTGAGAACCATGGAGGCCAATGACATAACTCCCAGTCCAAGGTCAGGAGAAGAGAGAAGTCTCAACTCAACAAAAGACAAATAGCCCTTTCTCTCCCTTTTTGTTCTATTCAGGCCCTTCATGAATTAGATAACGCCTACCCACCTTGGTGAGGATGGATCTTCTCTACTCAGTCTACTGATTCAAATGCTAATCTCTTCCAGAAACACCCTCACAGATGCACCCAGATGTAATGTTTTACCAGCTACCTGGGCATCCTCTAGCCCAGTCAAATTGACACAACAATTAACCATCAGTCAGGGAAGAGGTTTCAAAATGTAAGTTTTATTATTATTCAGGTATAGTGAGGCCAACAGACCAGGGGATATCTGTAATTGAAAAGACAGCTTGTTCAGGTTTCAAAAGTGGGGCATGCCATGCCATGCTGTGGGGGCACCTAGGGAAACATCAGTTGGTCAGGACACAAAGGAATCAAGGGGGGAACTTTACTGTGGTTTCTGCAGGAATAAATGGGTGAAGCAGCATAAGCAGGTTTAGGGTTAGCTAGTTTGAATCATTTCAGCAAGCTTTGGAATATAGGAGTTGTCCCAGTTGTCTGGTACCAGGCTCTGGGGTGACTGAGGCAGAGAATTAGTGGCTCAGAAGGTGAAAGCCTGATAAAGAAGGTGGCTGGGGGATGGGGCTCCAGAGTGTTCAGTTTGCATAGGAAAGGCATGCTCACAGGTGAGTCCTTTACTGTCCTTAGGAATTGGCCAGCCCTGGGAAGGGCAGTTCCTTCAGTGTCAGCAAAACCCAAGATGTCAAAGCATCAGAATAAAAAGATAATACAGAAGGAGTGTGTGACCAGAGCCAAGCTCTGCAAAGGCATGTCCACCAGCATGGCCTAGAAACAGTCCCAACCCAACCCTGAGGAGCTTGTTCTAGTAACCAAACCAGGAAGCATCCAGTGTACTGGATAGTTACAGGGGAGACGTGCTTGAAAGCATTTAGGAAAAAGTCAGGGAATGTGGTCTATGGATAGTTATGGCATGAACAGCATGAGCTCCTGAAACCTTTAAATCACCCCCATGTTTGTTACTTGTTAACTCTTGTTCCCCCTCACTCCAGACCTGTGAAGAGCATTCCAATGAAAAAATGAAAGGAAAGCATTCGGTATGTTATGCTTTAAAGGCATAACCTCCTTTAATCTTCACAGCAGCTCTTTCAGATAAGTATGCATATCCCTATTTTACAGATAAAGAGACTAGGGGGTTAAATAGTTTTCCAAAGATCTGAAAGCAGATGCATGATGGGGGCAGGATTTGAACCATGGGTTTATCAATCTATTATGTCTGGCCTCAGGGGTAGCGGTAAGGAAGAACAAGGAAAAATCAAAGAGGGGTGATGGCCAATGTAGAAAACAAAAGCTGGAGAAAGAAATCCCTGGATGTTTCCAGAATTTACTCTGAGATAGAATGGACCTAAGACAACAACCAAAGATCTAACCCACCCAAGCAGGAGCTCCCAGGAAAAACAGGTCTCAGCCCCCATGATCCCATGGCCTTCAGTAAGAATTAGGCTACAGCTTCAGAACACTTGTCCAGTCCTTCCTGGATCTGAGCCTGATTGTTGCTTGGCCCTGTTTGCTTTTAACTCATGGTGGCCTCTGCCTTGGGGTTACTCTCAGGTAAAGGCTACCTTTGTTGCCTCATCACCTTTGTTCACCTTTGGTCTAATCTAAATGAAATGTCCAGGTCATCCCTTGTCTTCCTGTTCCCAATTCCATGAGAATAGGAATAAGAGGGTTTATACAACCTCATGTGAATGTAATCCACATAAACGTCTTGTAGGAGACAGCAGCCTGCCAGAGATGAGGCAATGCCATCAACGTGTCCTGGCGTTCTCACACCAGCTCCTGCTGCCATGCATTTGACAGCACCTACCTCCACTTCTGTGTAGGAGTCAGCACACTGCACACGTCCTGCTCCCATCTGCCTGTCTATCAAACACAGACCCACCTTTCTATCTGGGACATTCGAAGAGAGAGTTAGAAACCTGACCCTGATTATTGCATAAAACAGAATAGCAAAGGGAGAATCATATACTATGTTCTAGTATGCCCCTTTTTCTTTCTTTTTGATATTTTCCCCTCTCACTTTCTTTACCATTTCTTAGAAATTTTAACAACAGGACAACAGAGTGAAGATAAGATAAAGAAGCTAACAGAGAGGATAAATCTAGTTTTTCCTAAAGCCTCAATATTTTAAACGAGGTTGCAAATCTATTAACCAAAGTGGTATTTCTTCCACATGCCACCTCCTCTGGGTTTGCTTTCAGGTTTGACATAATTATCCTGCAGCCATCACTACCCTTAGGTTTAAAAGTTATTATACTGTAAAGCCTTTTCAGTAATGCACTTTTAGAATGAGGTTTTTAAATTCGTGCTGTAGGCATTTTTCCCTGGGGCATAGATGCTGTGCAGGCAACTCAGGATTTAGATTTCTTTTCCTTCAAGAACAGTTGGGCACACTTTACCCAATGGAAGACAGATTGCAGAGGTAATGGGGGCAAACGCTGGATGACAAGAAGACGCACCGTTTACTTGATGCTGAATTTCCACACTCCAAACCTGCAAGTAATGAATATAGCTCTTGCTTGGTCCCAAAGCTTAACTGAGACTAGAAAGCAAAGTAGTCCTAAATTCTCGTATTATGTAAAGGGATGCGGGAACCCTGGATGCTCTGTAGAATCAAACCCAACCTCTGAGCCTCCATCCACAGGAACTCAGAGCAGCCACCTGCTAAGGCTTCTGGTGCCCCCGGGAGGGAAACGTGGCGTCCATTTTGCCCTGGTGGGAATCTCTGTATCTTTTGGAGGAAGACACTCTTGAAATGAAGTCAACAGTTTTTTTTTTTTTTTCTATTGTTCGAAAGACTTTATTTAGGGGAACGGGCTGAGGAATCACATTTGCTAAATTTGAATCCTGGTTCTGCTTCTTATTAGCTATGTCTCCCTGAAAAATTTGATGCCTTAGTTTCCTCATCTGTCAAATGTGAAGACTATTTCCTATCTCATGCAGGTGTTATGAGGGTTAAATGAAACAATCCATGTAAAACATTTAGTACAGACGCTGCACATAGGAAGTACCATGAAGTTAAACTCTTCTATTGCTGTGGAAAGAAAAAACTAATTGAATTATCTCCACAATAGGCACACCCTTTCATATTGGCCACACTCTTCCTAGCTATACTAGTTACAAATGAACTATATGCTCCCCTCTGTTCTCTGCACACGTTTTAATATTCCCCAAGTCCTTTAAGAGACCTTCTCCCACACTAACAGATGTTATTAAAGTGGTCCCTGACAGTAATTAAAGACTTAACAACAGTGCTTGGGAACGAATCTGATATAGAGGAACTGTGTGGCCACTCTGTAGTTTAGAATGACTACAATGACTCCCCAACAGAAAAATCCAAATGCGCTCTCTCAAATTCTTACTCCCCTCATTGCAAACTGACCCACTATGATAGCTGCTCACCAAGATCACATTCTTATCAGTAGATGCTGGTAAATTCTAATGATTAAAGGTTGGTGAGAACTGTAGGTCTCCTCTCCTAAAAGTTCTCTTCTAGGTGGCATATTACAAGGACAAGAAAGTGTCACATCACCTGGTGTACTCTCAGGGAAGTTCAAGCTCTCTCCTTTAGGCACTTGAAAGGCTCTCACAGCCAGATTCAACAATCTTCTAACCAAATCAGGAGATAAAACCCTCAGGACCCATCATTTAGTGGCAGAACACAGAAGAGGATGGTGTTCTAGACCTAGAATCCTGTTCTTAAAGATATCCATTTGCTGGGTGCCCAAAGATTTCATTCCCTGCTACAGTCTGAATGTTTGTGTTCCCCCAACTTCCAGATTCATATGTTAAAGCCTAATCCCCAATGCAATAGTATTAAAAGGTAGGGCCTTTGGGAGGTGATTAGGTCATAAGGATTCTGCCCTCATGAATGAGATTAGTGCCCTTATATCAGAGGGCAGAGGGAGCCTATTTGCCCCTTCCACCACATGAGGATGCAACAAGGCACCAGCAGAGAGCAAGCCCTTATCAGACACCAAAGCTTCTAGTACCTTGATCTTGGACTTCCCAGCCTCCAGAACCAGAAGAAACAAATGTATTCTTTATAAATTACTCAGTCTAAGGTAATTTGTTATAGCAATCCAAAGGGATTAAGACATATTTCTTCATGCAAGAGTAGAGGAAAAATATCTCCAGTCTATCTACATTAAGACATATTTCTTCATGCAAGAGTAGAGGAAAAATATCTCCAGTCCATCTACATAACTTGAAAACCACCCATTTCACCAATGAAAAATCACTTCCAGCACTCCTCATGCTTATGAAGGGAATTTCTAGTCTAGATACTTAAGCACTTGCTGAGACAGCCTCTGGAAAGTGGATTTCTAGTTAGAGTTTTTCAAACGCTAACTTTCCCTGAGGAGTAGATTCTTACTGAGAAAAATTCAAATGTTAACTCTTTGTCCCTAGGGTGCAGATTAATTGATAAAAATGTGATCACACCATCTATGCAGAAAAATACACCTTTTTACTCCTCCTAAGTGTTTGACTATGCTGACAGGACTTTCTCCTAGCAAATCTGGCTTCTCTTGGCTCTAGGTTATGGCTCAATCCATGTGAGATCCCTTTCAGAACAACCCTGAGTGGGGTCTTCCAAGGTCTTCCACAGATAGAGACTCATCTCTCCAGCTTGGTCCCAGAATAAAGAAGGTATGGAGCAAGGGCCCCTGTACCCACAAAGGACATGTGACTTGAGCAAGAAATAGACCTTTGTTGGCCAGGCATGGTGGTTCACGCCTATAATCCCAGCACTTTGGGGGGCCAAGGCAGGTGGATCACCTGAGGTTAGGAGTTTGAGACCAGCCTGGCCAACATGGTGAAACCCCATCTCTACTAAAAATACAAAAATCAGCCGGGTGTGGTGGTGCGCGTCTGTAATCCCAGCTACTCAAGAGGCTGAGGCAGGAGAATGGCTTGAACCTAGGAGGTGGAGGTTGCCCAGTGAACCAAGATCACACCACTGCACTCCAGCCTGGGTGACAGAGTGAGACTCTGTCTCAAGGGAAGAAAAAAAAAAAGCAAGCAAGCAAGAAAGAAAGAGACCTTTGTTATTATAACCCACGGAGAGTTTGGGACCATGTTACTACAGCATCTCATGGTTAAAAAAAAAATGTACTGACATGCCAGAAAAAAATAAAAAGAAAGTGGGTGAGGTATGTGGGATGGATGAAACAAGGATGGCAGGATTCAGACAGTTGACAGCTGGCTTGTGTATGCACTGTGTATTTGTTATCTAATTCTCTCTTATTTTGTATATGTTCGAAAATAACCATAATAAAAAGTTAAAAAGTTGCGGCTTGGAAATATGGACATAGGAACACAGTTTTTCATTTGGACAACCTCAGTAGGAAGTTCTAGATTTTCTTTATGCCTTAAAATTCTGCTTTTATAGAGACAGTACTACAAGTATATCTTACCACATAAACAGGAAATGAATTAGAATACAGAGGTATGGCACTTACAAAACATTAAAGTATAGTCAAATGTGATTTCTTAATTTGAAACCCTCCAAATCTGTGATGATTCCATAATATCTTCAGATGGAAGAATTAAATTTTTGGAATGTTCTTTGAGAGCACAAACTCCCAGGCTATAAGCAATTCAAAAGCACAGGGGCCAAATGGATGGAGGAGAATATACTTGGGGTTTTTTCCTCAGTACAGTTTGCAGAGATTTAAAGTAAATCAGCTGTCAGCTCTTGTGCAACATGGAACAGAATTCTTGGAAGAGCCCAGGCTCATCTGCCAGGCTGGAGGGGTGCAGACCAGGGAGCACCTCCTGGTCTTACCAACCTGTTCCTGGTGTGCAGTGCTCCAGAAAACGCAATTTCACTAAAGCTACAGGAGCTCACCCACACATGCTGAATCCGACTTCCAACATCCTGTTAACTACCATGGATGCACCAGGATCCTTCCAGAGCAGACAGCCAGAGTGGAGCAGAGAATTCATAGCCAAAACTTAAATGACAAGGCAGCCCTCCCTCCCTGTTGAGCATCGTGAGGCCCTAAGGAGAGCACCGAGGACTGAACAGACGATGAGCAGGTAACAAGGACAGGAGTTGGTAAAGGGCAGAAACTCTCCAATCCACAGCCATGGCTCCTGTGCCCTCCTCTGAAGAGACCTCAAAACATTCACCTCACCCTCCCCAAGGCAGCTGCAGTGTCCACCACAGGGTTACTTTCACCCTAAGTTTCTTCAACTCATGTTTCCTGAGCCCCAACTACATACTAGGCAATGAGGTTTGACAGCACCACTGACATTCACGTCTGAAGCAGCTGTGATTCATTAAACCAGAACAGCCTCCCTCAAGATGAATGGCTAGCAACGCTAAACCATCACACATACCCAGGAAAATACCAAGAGGATTTCATCTGGAACAAAGTCAAAAGAAAACGATTTAGAGGAAAGAAACAGAAGCACAGATGACATGCCGTTTATAAAACTGACACATTAATAAGTGGATCCATGTACTACATTCCAGAAGATTAAACATCTGCTTCAATAAAGTCACTTTGAATAAAATTTTCTAACTCTCAGAAATGCCAGATTTTAAGGGGAAATAGCAGAAGCAATGTGCCAATAAGAGGCGTCACTCACTGCTTCGAGTTTGGTGGGAAGATCTATAGGCTCAAAATGCACTCGCTTCCCCTCAGCTGGTTCAATGTGAGCTTCCATCCAAGCCGCTCTTCTCAAACAGGTCTGTCGTCTCAAGGCCACCAGTGGCTTCTATCTTCACAAATCCCTGAATTAATTCTATCCTCATCTTTCTCAACTTCTAAGGACCACTTGACTAAACTGAGTCCCCTGTTCTGCCTGAAACACTTTCTTCCTCTGGCTTCACACATGCCACATTCTCACTGCTACCTCCCAGTTCAAGAATTTCTGTCTGTTTCCCGTGTTGGTTCTTTCTTCTTGGTGACCCCACCACATTAGAACCCTCCAGGACTCGGCCTTCAGACCTTCCATCTGCTCTCACTCCCTGCACTCGGCTTTTCCTATCTCTTTCACCTCATGGCCTACCAAAATAATAATAATAATAATAATAATAATGGTGCCAACACCAAAACTGCGGCCACCTTGAGAGCTGAGGAGGATCAGTCTGGTCTACCTGTGACATATTAGCAGCATCTTATCCTCTAGGCAGCTCTCCCTGCGTGATTCCGTCTAGATCCATGCCTTTAAATACGGTGCTTACATTTGTGGTTTTTCCACCCTGGCTGCCCCTAGCCTCACCTGGAGAGTTCTTAAATACTTTAGAGATTTCATCTTAATCAGCCCAGGATGGAGCACAAGTATGGGTATCTTTTTTGGAAAGCTCTTCAAGAGACTCCATTATAGAGCTAAGGTTGAGACTCATGGATCGACACACAAATGACTCCTAACTTACTGACCTTCATCTCTTTTCTGAGCTCCAAATTCATACCTGACATCCTATTCAAACTTCCACCTTGAATGTGACGTAGGCATCTCAAAATCAATACGTCCATGAAAGAAGTCTTCACCATGTTACACCCTAGGCAACCTCCATCCCCACCATCACCTCTCACCTCTCACCCTGAAAACCTCAGCCCAAATTGTCCCTCCCCTAGTCTTCCTCATTTCAGGTAACAGTATTAGGCAATCTGTTTAGTTCTTCAGACCAAATACCAAGAAGCTTTTTTTTCTTTCCCTTGTCTCCAACATCTAATCTATCAGCACATCCTGTTGGTTCTACTTTCAGAATGTTCTAAATAGAGCACTTCTCGCTATTCCCACTGCTGTTGATGCAAGCCACGTGATTTTTCTCTTGGATTAATTTATCAGCTTCTGTTATTTCCCCCATGATTCCAATCCTCCACCCCCTAATGTACGCCAAGCCTATGAGACACTGGTATTCGTTTCCTGTGGCTGCTGTACAAATTACCATAAACTTAGTGGCTTAAAGCAACAGAAATGTATTGTCTCAAAATTTCTGCAGGGCAAAAATCTGAAATCAAGGTATTAGCAGTGCCTCGAAGCAGTCCCTCCGAAGGCTGTAGGGGAAAAGGCTTTCTTGCCTCTTCCAGTTTCTAGTGGCTCCAGGCTTCCTTAGCTTGTGACTGCATAACTCCAATCTCTGCCTCTGTCTCCACATGCCTTCCCCCTCTGTCTCTTCCCCTTTTCTGTCTTTTATAAGAATACTTCCCATTGGATTTAGGGCCCATCTGGATAATCCAGGGTGACCCTATCTGGAGATCCTTAACTTAATTATTTCCACAAGGACGTTTTTTCCAAAGAAGGCCACATTCACAGTTTCCAGAGGTTAGGGTATGCACCCATCTTTTTAGAGTCACCATTAAACCCATTACAACACTATAGGCTTATCTTTTAACAATAAAAATGATGTCATATCTCTTTTTTTTTTTTTTTGAGACAAAGTCTCACTCTGTCACCCAGGCTGGAGTGCAGTGGCATGATCTCCGCTCACTGCAACCTCTGCCTCCTGAGTTCAAGCAATTCTCCTGCCTCAGCCTTCCAAGTAGCTGGGACTACAGGCGCCCGCCACCACACCCAGCTAATTTTTTGTATTTTTAGTAGAGATGGGGTTTCACCATGTTGGCCAGGATGGTCTTAATCTCCTGACCTCGTGATCCACCCGCCTTGGCCTCCCAAAGTGCTAGGATTACAGATGTGAGCCACCTCACCCAGTCTACTTTTGAAATTAAAATCCCCCAATGATTTCCCATTGCAAATACTGGAAATAGAATGTAATCTTAAATTTCTTGAAATGGGTTACAGAACTCTACAAGATCTGGCCCCCGACAACCTCTTTGACCAAATATCTTACCACTGTTCCTCTTACCACATCCCTCTGGACAGAAGGGCCTTCTGTCTACTCTTCAAAAAGCTTGAGATCCTAGCTCAGGGCCTTTGCACTCACTGTTCCCCTGGTTTGATGCCTTCTGCACTCAGTCTTACATGACTGGCACCTTCTCTTCACTCAGACCTCAGACTAATATCACTGTCCCAAGAGAAGGCTTTCTGGTCACCCTTCCTATAATAGCCTCACTCCCTCCCCAGTCATGCTCAAGCTCAGTATCCTGTTTCAATTTGTTGTAGCCCCCACTACTATCTAATTGAATTATGTACTGATTGCCTTCCCAACTAAAATGGGGACAGGGAACTTGTTTGTCTTGTTTATCATTGTATGCCTAAGTGCTAAGAGCTGCTTAGTCAGAAGTATGTGCTTAACGAATATTTGTTGAATATATGAATTAGTAGGTACTATGGTCTGACCGTGTCCCCCACAATTCATGTCCTGGAAACTGAATCCCCAGTCCAACAGTGTTGGGAGTTGGGGCCTTCTGGGTGGTGTGTAAGCCATGAGGGCTCTTTCCTCATTAATAGGTTAAAGCTGCTATAAAAAGGGCTTGTGGGAGTGGGTTTATTCTAGCGCTCTTCTGCTCTTCTGCCATGTGAGAATGCAGGAAGAAGGCCTTCATCAGAAGTTGGTACCTCGATCTTGGACTTCCCAGCCTCCAGAACTTTGAGAAATAAATTTCTGTTTTTTATAAATCACCCAGTGGTATTCTCTTACAGCAACCTCAAATGGACCAGGACAGTAACTGGTCTGTTTAAGAAGCACCATGAACCCTCCTGAAATGGGTGGCAGTTTTATTGCAAAGAAATGTGAACTGCAACAGTTGTCTGAGAATTGTGGGACCCCGGGTAATTTTTGTCTTGTTATGCCATTTTTGTTTTTGTTTCTGTTTTCATATTCTAAATATTATTTGTTGACTATGACCAGGAGGCTGGGTTTGGGGTCGGGTAGAGGGGTGGACAGGAATTAGGTGAATTTAAATGCTGCCCTGTCTGGAGATGCTGCCAGCGGTGGTATAAGTGAATCCAGCCCTACCACATT
Source organism: Homo sapiens (assembly GCF_000001405.40). NCBI lineage: Eukaryota > Metazoa > Chordata > Mammalia > Primates > Hominidae > Homo > Homo sapiens. The sequence continues at coordinate 233,643,701 of NC_000001.11, read as the reverse complement.
CATGCACTAAGTAAGAAGAAGTGAAGCAGTTTTGGCTCCTCCTGCCAACCTGGTCTAAGACCTGGTGGGCAGCCCACACCCATTTATGAGGTCCAAGTCTCCATCTCTCTTCTTCTAACTTCTGTAAATAGGAAACAACAGGAAACACAGCCTGAGGATAAGATAAAGAGAAGCACTGCCTGGGAGGAGGTACAGTGTTTAAAGAGAACTGACCATAGGGAAAGTGCTGCACTCACAATAGAAGCTCATCACAGAAAATGTTTTACTGTGAAAGAAAATGCAAAACCGTGAGCTCATACATAGACATGGATTCCAGTTAGAGTGTAGTGAGTGGACCAGCTGCTCACCCCGAACATGCCCATTGGCCATTTTATTTCAACTAGTACCCACAGCCTCCCCACTCTCTGCTCAAAGTCCCTTACTTATACTCTTTAAGTCCCCACTTCTCTCACCAAATCCAGTCCTCTACTCCTAACCACTGTGGATGTGCCATAGCCACCTATAACCCCACATATGCATGACTGAACTAGCAAGCTCCCCTCAAACCTGCTGTGGCTCAGAGATCAGCTCTACTTCCCTGACTCCTCCTTCCTCATCACTGACATTAAAATGGCACCAAGAGGCTGGGCACAGCAGCTCACGCCTGTATACCAGCAATTTGGGAGGCCAAGGCAGGTGGATCACCTGAGGTCAAAAGTTCGAGACCAGCCTGGCCACCACGGTGAAACCCCATCTCTACTAAAAATGCAAAAAAAAAAAAAAAAAATTAGCCGGGTGCGGTGGCGCATGCCTGTAGTCCCAGCTACTCATGAGGCTGAGGCAGAAGAATCGTTCAAGCCCAGGAGGCAGTGGTTGCAGTGAGCCTAGATCACGCCACTGCACTCCAGCCTGGGTGACAGAGTGAGACTCTGTCTCAAAAGAAAAAAAAAATGGCACCAAGAGCCAGTGACTTTGGAATGATTTCCCGAATTCATTGCTTTTACTCTATCACCGCTGCTGTGTTTTAGTTTGGGTTGTTCTACCCGTCCATCCCCCACAGCATCACTTCCCATGGCCACAGGCTAAAGGGCAGATCCTGCAGGTCCTCTCAGTGTCCCTCACAAACAAGCCCTGCCCACCTGTCCAGCCTCAATGCTTGCCTGCGCCTGCATCAGAGAACCAGGACGTGGTCTCAGAACACCCCCTGCCCTTTCACACTTGCATGATTTTGTACATGCTGCTCCCTTTCATCTTTCTGACCTGTCTTCAAGCCCCTCAGGGCCAGTATCTGCTCACCTGCCCTTGTCCCCTGTCTGTCCCTACCATGGAGCAGAGGAAAGCTACACAGTTCCTTTTCTCACCTCCCGGGAAGGTTGCAGTGACCACATGACAGAGCTCTGGCTGATGAGATAGAAGTGGAAACCTGGAGGGAAGTTGGTTTGGGGGAATCTTTGTTTCTTCTTGCCTTTAACACAAACAACACATCTGCAGCTGAGCAGGCATCTCATGAGGTAGAGTGACTAGCATGAGGTCAAACCTAGAGTGAGAGACCAGAACATGACTCCCCAAAAGCAGGAAAAATTGCTGAGCTGAAGACAATGAAGAAGACGCAGGGGAGCTCTCTGCCCTCCCTCTGTTTGCCTAAAAACAGGAGACAGATGATTGACAAACACATAAGGTATCCTGCCCACCTCTCCACCAAAAGCTAACCACTGAAGACAGCTTTGACCCTCATCAAACTTGAGATGACACCAGAGGAACTGATATCAACAAATTTTATTCACTAATTTTTATCTGCCCTGCCATTTGTTCATCTGCTGCCCAAGCGGCTCCCTGCAGACACTCAAAATCCTTTTCCTTTGTCCTGTCACTTGCCTTGAATTTGTTGTTCTTTGTTGAAGATGCTATCTAAGCCACTGCTTTGAGTTACCATTCATGAGGTTTCTCTCATGGGACATGCACTGCTTGTGTTAATAAACTTGCTTGTTTTTCTCTTGTTAATCTATCTTTTGTTACAGGGATCTGTCTCATCAACTTATGAACTTATGAGGGTTGAGGAGAAATTCCATTTCCTCCCTGACCCCAGCACAGGAAGAAGGAATGGCAAGCCAGGAAGTGCCAACAGGACCCTGCCGTGTTAAGTGGGGATATAACACCCCATCCGCTTACTGCCAGACCTTACAGTGTGAGAACATTTACGTGTCCCTCCTATAAATTTAAGCCATTATAAATTGGGATTTTTGTTTACTGCAGCTGCAAGCAATCTTAATTGTACATCACTTGTATTACAATAATCAGTTTAGATGTTTCTCTAAGATACGAGCTGCTTGATTACTGAGTCTATCTGTATCTCTAACCCTGAAACCCTGGCATAGGGCTCTGCATGGAGCAAGCTTGTAGAAGCCTATGAAATTTGAGAGGACTCAAAATATAGAGGAAAGCAGCACTTTAATTAGAAGGTGGTGTGCTCTGGCTGAAGATTCTTCATTGTGACTCAGCCCTCCGACAGGCAGAAAGTAGAGTGAAAACACCTGGTGAGAGCCATACTCTAAGGACCTACAGAGTGTCCTACATAGAAAGTCTTCCGGCTTGTTTGTGCTTCCATTTATTTGCTGAAGAAACTTACCATCTCAGGATAAACTCACTAGATTTTAAGAGAGATGCCAATTTAGACCGACACCCTCGGGCATCGCCTATGAGAAAAGTAGAGCCTGTTGGCCAGGGACAGTGTGGCTCACACCTATAATCCCAGCACTCTGGGAGGCCAAGGCGGGTGGATCACCTGAGCTCAGGAGTTCAAGACCAGCCTGGCCAACATGGCAAAACCCCGTTTCTACTAAAAACACAACAATTAGTTGGGTGTGGTGGCACAAGGCTTTAATCTTAGCTACATGGGAGGCCGAGGCCTGAGAATCACTTGAACCTGGGAGGTGGAGGCTGTAGTGAGCTGAGATTGAGCTACTGCACTCCAGTCTGGCGACACAACGAGACCCTGTCTAAAAAAGAAAGAGAGAGAGAAAAGCAGAACCATAGCACAAGAGCCAGACCTGACCTTCATTCTCTACGTTATCCCAGAAAACCACTTCTTTTGGAACAATTTACAGGAGTACTTACTTAAGAGATTAAAAATACAAATGTAAAATGTTACCAAAGTTCCATCACAGGGAAATCAGTTCACATGAAAATGACTTTTGAAGTCAATTCACTTGATCATTAATATCTAACTATAATTAATTACTTCTAAGTCTGTTTTATCTTTCAATGGAGATGAAATTAGAATATAATGAGTCCGCTGAATTCAAGCTAATCAGTAGGTCAAAAGCAAGGTTAGGTTTCCTGAGAGTCCTTTAGAGTTCAGCAATAAGAATTCCAATTATTTCTTTATTACTTCACCTGCCCACCTGGCAATAAGTCAGTCTCGGCAGTTAAGTCCACACTGACACCAACACTGCATAATTGGTATTTCTTATAAATGTTTCCACGCCTTTTAGAAACTATCTATGGTGCAAAAAAAAAATTCTCAGAGGAATATGTTTCCAATTTATTCAAATGTTACCAAGAATATTTAACTCTTCAAACCAGGATTATTTGGTTTTCTCACTGCAGCTTCCCACACACCTGGTGGGATTCCAGTCTTTCTCATTTGGAGAAAAGAATTCTTACCTCAGACCTCTCTTCGGATGGAAAGCTTACAGTCCCCTTTGTAAATCCTCACTTGAAAAATGAGAATATTGAAGTAATAGCAACAACGCCTTTCCTCCTCAGCTTCTTTTCTATATGTCCCAATGCCCCAGACCACCAACTGCCCAGAGCAGGAAACAGGCATGGGAAGAGCCCCACAGAGGAGTCCCACCAGGTGTGTTCTGACGTGGCTCATGTGTAAGAAGGAACCAGCATTCAGGCACTCTGCAGGAAGGAGCTCTCCGGATAAATGCCAGGAGTACAAAAGCAAAAATGAGCAAACATGCAAACCACAATGCCACGTTCACGAGATGACCAATTGCCTCACAGTTGTGTGGTTTTCTTTGTTGTTTTTTTTGTAATTGAACAGCTTAAGAAGCATCAACTCTCTCCCTTATGATATTAACAAGAAAGAGAATCAAGTATTTGACACAAATATAGAAAGAATGTTCAATGCTTTGTCAGACGTTAGGATTCTTCTAGTTTAAATACTCTTGCCAGATAAATGAGAAGGACGCTTAGAAGTGAAAAAGAAGGTGCTGCTTATGGGAAAAATGGATTCAATTAGGCAACATAAAAGTCAGAAAATCAACCCTTCTCATATCTAATCAAAATACACAGGAATACACTTTGGTTCTGATATTCACATCCCTATGACATATCTACTATTTATCCAACTATTTGAAATGTTGCAGATTCTTCAAAGAAACACAGGACTAGATCCATGTTCTTGTCTTATGAAAAATATACTTGTAGAGTCAAAAAGCAAAGAACATTTAAAAATGCAAAACAGGATATTAGGGGCCAAATGAGTGGTTAAAAATATGCTATATAAGAAAGAAAAAGGAGAACAAGTACTGTGTGAGGTCAGTTAGCCCCTTCTTTGGACTTTGTCCTAATTCAGGATCATATGAGTGAAAAACTCAAGCCCTATATATTCATCTGTTTTTTGGGTGTGTTAGGACTGGAGCCCATCAGCCAGGACAAACCCACACATGGGTGCACAAATGTGGAGAGAAGACTTCCAAAGACTTGGATCAGAGGAACCTAATCATCCCTAGGCTTATTTTTTAATTTTCCCAAACAGTGAGTGTTATTTTTTTGTGGACATTTACCCCGAGGTAGTGGGAAACATGTAACTGCCACTTCCAGACATACACACTACCCCACAGAGCCAAATGTAGGAAGAACAAGCTGCTCAGCAGAATCATATGAGTTCCTCCCTTTCCAAAAATATTACTCTCTGGCATAAAACGTTTCCCTGCACATGGATGGCCTCACTTAGTCATCGAGCCCATGGATGCAGAGCTGGAGTGCTCATCACATGCTGTGTGTCCTCGGTTGGCTCCCCACAGCCCTGCACCTGTGCAATATGGCCACTCAGCCCCAAAAGGATGGCCCAGGGAGCCTCCTCAAGGGGAGGCCCTGAGGCTGGCGTCACCGTGGCCATCACTGCTCTGCAGCCTCCACAATCGGTCAACGATTTGCTTCACAAAGCTGCTGCAGAGCACAGTTTACCCTGCAGTGCTCCAGTCCAATCAGGCCTGGGGAAGAAAAACATTCTCCCTTCTGCAAAACCCTCATTTCTTGAGTTGACAATTTCATTCTTTTTTTTTTTTCTCTCTTTTTTAGGTATTGGTCATCAAAAAACAAGAGAAACAAGGAAAAGAGCCATTTTTAATTTTTAACTAATTTAATTTTTTCCATTTAAAATTTTAAAAAATTAATTATTTTTTTCCTGATAAAACCATCAGACCCTTCTTTGTGGGACCTCAGGAAAGAGCTTCAGGTGGGCTCACTGTCCAGGGCAGGAATACTGGAGTCAGGGGAAGAAGGAGCACCCAGGCCTCCCGGTTTTAAGGATCTCACATCAGACACTTACTTGGCTTTGTTTGTACCACTTAAGACATATAAGCTAACAAAGGTGAATAGCCACACCAGTATTTTACTAACTGTTATAATCAATGCCCCCTTTGGATAAACAACATAACAAAAATAAATATAACAGAAGCAGGAGAGGACAACCCTGTGTTTTTTTTTTTCATTTTTCCACAGCCCACGACATTGTCAAGCATTCATTTCTATAAATTGCATGATAAATAGTAAATATTAAATATACTACTGAGTCTTCAAATTGCCTATCCCTCTCCCTCCACAACCCATTGAGAATCACTGGTCTTAAGGGTTTTAAATATTGAGTCTATTCAGCCCAGTGAATAGAACCATTTAAAACGTAAAATGAGTTTCTTGCTCCTCCAATGATTGAATTGGGTTTGCTCTCAATCCTGAGGTTCCCAAAACGACATTACATTCCAACACTACATTGCACCAGAAAGCAGAATTCCAATCTGTAGGTTTTACACAGATGCAAACCTCATCACTGGTCACGTCATTGGAAGACACCAGAGTCATAAAATCTTCCATCAAAAGGCTGGTCATTCCGTCTTTAAGAAAAGATAAACTTGCATTGCCAAATGGAAAATTTTAATTTGAAGGAGCTGAGAGTCTAGCTTGAAAGAAAGGATGGTGAAAATTGAGAGATAGGCAGAAAAATTGGTATGTATATTGGTGAGTTTTTAAAAGTCCTTTGTTTCTAATTTTCCTTACCTTCTCACCTTACTGAAGAAATGGATGCCAACTGACATGAGCTCTTCTAAAAACCCACCAGCACATCTCCCATCCATAAAAATGACCTCAGTCTTCTGCTTCTGATGCCAGCTCGCTTCCTGGGTATGGGGTCTTAGCCCCATTCACCTGCTCAAAAACACAGCCCAGTGAACCTGCCTTGTTTCCATAACCATTACTGCTCTTCCATGTCACCATCTTTTTTTTTTTTTTTTTTTTTTGAAACAGAGTCTCACTCTGTCGCCCAGGCTGGAGTGCAGTGGCACGATCTTGGCTCACTACAACCTCCGCCTCCTGGGTTCACGCCATTCTCCTGCCTCAGCCTCCCAAGTAGCTGGGACTACAGGTGCCCGCCACCACTCCCTGCTAATTTTTTGAATTTTTAGGAGAGATGGGGTTTCACCATGTTAGCCAGGATGGTCTTGATCTCCTGACCTCATGATCCTCCCGCCATGGCCTCCCAAAGTGCTGGGATTACAGGCGTGAGCCACCACACCTGGCCCCATCTCACCATCTTAAACACCATCTCTTGATCCTCCACTTCCCTGCCACCTACTGCCCATTCTCCTGTGCCCCTTTGCAGGACAACATGTAGAAACCATGATCCCCCTGCTGCCTTCAATGCCTCTCCACCTCTCTCGTGATCCCTTGTCCTAGAGGGATCACCTGTTTTTCCTATGACATCACTAACCACCCCCCAGTCTTGTGATCCGATTCCTCCCTGTTCAGATATCTAATGTGAGGGAGACCAGACCCACACACCCAACTTCTTCCTCTGCATCTCCACTTGGCCATCACACAGGCATCTAAACTTAACAGATCCACAGCTGAGCACCTGGATTTTTTTCACCACCTCCCAACTTGGCTCTACTGGGGTTTAGCTCTTCTCAGTCAGTGGCACCTTCTTCTCACTGTTGCTCAAGCCAAAATCCTGCAGCCTCACTTATCTCTTGTTCTCTCTTTCACTCATTTCCAATCCACCAGCAAATCTTACTAGCTCTACCATTGAATGACATTCAGAATCCACCAACTCTCACTCTCCTGCTGTAGCCCAAGCCACGGAGATCTCTCTGAGGATTACAGTAATAGCTTCCCAGCTGGTCTCCCTGATCGGCCCCAGCCTCCCATAAACAGGAGCCACAGCAACCCTAAGAAAACAAGGATATCATGTTACTCCTCAACTTCACTCAACTAGGATATCATGTTACTCCTCAACTTCACTTGCTTACAACAAAACCTAACATCCTTATCAGGGCCCATAAGGTCCTACATGATCTGACTCCACTACTTCCCTAATCTCATCTGCTACGACTCCCCACTGTTTATTCAGCTCCAGCCACACTGGCCTCTTAGCTCGATACTAGGTATACTCCTGGCTCAGGGCCTTTGCACGTGGCTGCCCGCATGGCCTGAATGGTCTTTCCCCTATTATGCAGAGCTGGCTTACTCACCAACTTCAGGTCGCCTACTCAGAGAAGCCTACCCAAGTCACTGTATATAAAATATCAACGTTCTCTTCAATGCAAACCTTATATCACCTTTCAATGCTTTATTGTATTTTTTCTTAACACTTATTTTATGTAAAATATTTTATGCTTTATTTATTTATATTATTGTCATTCTTGCCTTCTGAAATAGATATTACATAGCAGGAATTTTAGTCTGTTGTTCCCTGATGTTCCTCAGCATCTAAAAACATGCCTGGCACACAGTAGGTGCCCCCAAAATATTTTGCCCAAGTATGAATAAATGGATCAGCAAATGATTGAATAAATTTCATTCGGCAAAAGCAAATTCATAGCTTAGTTTTTAACAAAAAAAAATTATTGGCTTATGGCTTATTAACATGTTATTAATCAAATCATATATAAAGAAGTATTATAATTTGAAATAAAAAATATATATAGTCGTGATGCCCTACTGGCTTAAAGCTTCCATTTTTACTCAACAATTCAAAAGCATGAAAAGCAACAAAAATGTTATGATCTTGGAGGCAGATTCCAGGTTGCCTTTAGACAAAGACTATCTGTTGTTTATTACCATATTTCAAGCCTAGCAGAGACAGGCTCACAGTGGAACTCAAAATATATGTGTGACCTGAATAAACACTAAATATGGCTTTTATTTTCTAGCGAAATATCATTATTTATTGTGCTTTTCTGTGTTGACTATACCCTCAGGGATATTCCCCATCCAACCAAGTACATACATAAAACATTTATATAAAAAAGATGATAATTTTTCCTTTCACAAATTGATAACTGCTGTTAACACAATCTTAAAGTAGTTTCTAAAAGAAAAAAAACACTTGGATATTTACCTGTTTTGGCTATTAGGAGAATTCTGTTTTAAAGAATTGGCCTAAGCGGTCCATAGGTTGGACTAGAGAATTATTTATAAGTAAACACTCTTCTTTCTTTTGGAGCTGGGCCAAGGAGTAGAAGCCTGAGTACGAGTGAGGGTTATAATATATATCAATTTAACTTGGAAAAGAAACACTTATTTCTTTGATGAAGTGTTCTGTCTGGACATAATGACCACTTCATACTCATATGCCTCAGCAGGACATACTGGCAAATTGAAAAACTTAATCAGGCTTCTGTCTGCTCCCAACAGATGATCTTGCTTTTCCTTCAGCTTTTCATTAAGTGATTCTAAGGAAGTGTAAATGCATGAGCATTAGCAACAGAAGTTTCCCTAGTGACCCTTATTACTAAAGAATAACCAGGGCACTTAATAAAGCTAAAGTCACTGTTGCAGAGCATCTGGTGGGCATAACAATCCCATGAGCCCTGCTTTGCTAAAAACTCTGCCTTCAGCCTCGTTGACTCTCTCCAACAGCCTCCATCCGGGACTGTCTGAGCACCTGGGTTTGAGTACCTGTACTGCCACTTCCAACTGCTGCACATTAAGCAGCCATTTATTGATACATTTTCTGGCCTCAGATTTCACATCTGAGAAACAGGAGTCATTAGTGTCTGCCCTGTTGTCCGCACATAAACATTTTAACTACCAAGAGAAGTGAAGTTTGTGAAAGCAGTTTAAGAACCTGAAAAGCTATACCAAAATGTATTTTCTTTTTCTTTTTTTTTTTTTTTGTTGTTGTTGTTGTTGAGACAGAGTAGCTCTGTTACCCAGGCTGGAGTGCAGTGGCGAGATCTCAGTTCACTTCAACCTCCGCCTCCTGGGTTCAAGCAATTCTCCTGCCTCAGCCTCCCAAGTAGCTGGGATTACAGGCACCCTCCACCACACCCAGCTAATTTTTGTATTTTTAGTAGAGACAGGGTTTCACTGTGTTGGCCAGGCTGGTCTCAAACTCCTGACCTTGTGATTCGCCCGCCTCGGCCTCCCAAAGTGCTGGGATTACAAGTGTAAGCCACTGCGCCCGGCCCAAAATGTAAATATTCTTATTGTGTGTGTCTATTTCTCATAGTCCCCTTCTCATCGTAGTCATTGCCAAGCACATGTCTTCACAATTTTTTTGTACCCAGCTATTAATAAATGAATACACTACTGCTGTGTTGCGGATGTGTGACTATGTTAATTTCACTCCCTCATGCTAGAGGCTAATGTTAGGGTTTTCCCCTAACACCTACCATTAACGAGGCTTAATGTTTTCTTCTTAAATCATGGGCTGTTTGTATCTCTTCCTTTAAAATCCTCTCTTCCAAGCCCAAACAACAACCAAAAACTATCCCTCCTAAAATGAAAAAAACATGGAATTTTAGACACTGGAAACTGCAATACTAAAGCTTGTGTCCTTTTCAGAGTTTTCCTAAACACTAAATAAATTTAGTATTTTACAGGGCATTAATCAAGATTTTAGACAAATTAGCACCATGACTTTATTTTTCTAGAGAGATAGGCCTATTTGATAATAGGACTTCAAATTTCACCTTACAGAATTGGTGGTTTAGGAGTGTAATGAAATCACATATTCTCAGATTCAAGAATATCCCTTGAATCCTTCAGAAAAACAAACATTAAGTTCATTGGGCTATCATCATTTCCCAAGGACATTATGTTAATCTAGCTTATTTTAACATGATAACCTACATGAAAATGCTCTGCAGAAGAATCCTATAATACATACTCCAATGGAGCTTTCTTCTAAAAATGTGGTGTGGTTTTTTTTGTTTGTTTGTTTGTTTACATACTTTGACAATTTCATACCTGTCAGAAGAAGGCAAATGGCAAATCCATCTAGTATGGGATAGATTTCTCAGGGTCACAAAAGAAACCAGTATTGCTTGTAACCTCCTCTTCTCCACCCCATGTTTCTCCAGGCTCTCATTGCTATTTTCATATGATTCACTCACTAAAAATCAACACAGTTATCATTGAAATGGCAGACAGAAGCAAACCCAAGTCAACAAAAATGAACCTCGTCTTTGTAAAGGCCAAGGAGGAAGATCTGGTTGGGAGCTGCAGGCAGACACAAGACACTGAGAAAACAGGTTTCAAAACATTTCTGAGAATAGAGAGGATGCTCTCCTTCCGAATGTCTTTACATGAAAAGACTGCCTAAGAGATGGGATGCCCCAAAAAACTAAGTCCTGAGAGCTGAACTGCTAATGAACCTGATGAGGGAGAACAGCAGGAGGACAAAGAAAGCAGAGTTGCCAGTCAGGAAGGTGCACACTGGGCTCCTTCTGAAAAGAGGCCCAAACCCACGATCCTCAGGAAGAAAAGCCAGGACCTCTAAGACCAGTGAGTGGACAGCAGAAGCACCAATGCAGGGAAGGACAAAAAAGTCACATCCAGTGTGCAGCACACACTATGTGGTCACCGAGTGGTAGCCATTACTGGAATCACTGAACCAGAGCCCCTTGTGAAGCCCACACAACAGAGATCAAACCACCACCAGGACAGCCAGCAGCAGCATCTACATTGAATCCTGACAAGAACTGTTGGCAGCTTAAGAAAAAAAGAAAGAAAGAAATCCAGTCCCGGTAAGGTTATAAAAAAATGAACCCTGAGGTTCATTAGTTCATTAACTGACCTTACCATCCTATCTGGTCAAAATTACTAATAAAATATTCTCCTTGCTCTATCCAGTAATTTGGTTGCTTGCATGTCAAAACTTATTAGCTTCAAATTAGAGCTCACATTTTTAGGGAGAAAAAAAAGAGTAGAAAACAGAGCAACGATGTTAAAGTGAATTCATGCAGAACCTGTCATCAAAGAAATCATTAACTTAAGCAGCAGCCTGTGGGAATAAAATGAGAGAGTTCCCTGAGCTGAGTGGACAGAGCACATATTAGCCCATGATAAGAAGCTTTTCAGCCAAATGTCCTATTCCCACTTAGCAGAAGACAACGCAATGTTTTCCTGTTCCAGTAAGCACAGCAGCACGCACGTGGAAGAGGGAACAGGATGGGTAAATTTTGTCATGGCATCTTGGGCAACTGCTGTCCAACTGACTTCCAGGGCTACAGCCAGGCTGAACTATGAGACCTCTGTCAAGCCTAATGCAGTGGTTCCCTCTGTTCGAGCCAAAGAGGACCAACCTAGAAGACAGTCTCAATCAGGGACATTTCCGGATGAAACTCCTCCCTCTACCTCTGCATTTAATGGGAAAAGGAGAATTACTTGCTTAAAAAAAACCAGAATCTATCAGCATGTAATCAGACCCAGCATAGGAACAAGGCTAATGTGTGAAAACAGTGAGCACATTTCTTTAGGAACACACAGCTAAATTCTAGCTCAGCCTCACTGCACAGATGAGGAAATGAGTGGAGAATGGAAACACTTAAAAATAAATGAATTGTCTTACTGTGTACCCTGACACACGCCACATTTTTAGACTTGCAGAGTAGAGATGATGAGTGAGGGTAGGGTAACTTTAGTGCACTCTTAGAAGGCTGTTTTCAAAACCATAATGTCTACAAGCAGGGAGAAATTCAGTTAGATTAATGGCAAGCTCACCTATTGCACATTCTTCAAGATACCAGGGCACAAACGGGAATGAACATTTTCTGCTTTTGAGCTGATAACCGTTGAGCTTAAAATCCTATCATTAAAGAGAAACACAAAGAAGCAGGCCTAATTAAATTCTGTGTCTCAGGGCAGTGATTCCCATTCTTCCCCAACAGTTAAACACACATTAGGGGTTCAGTGAGTGACAACCTTTCATATCTTGATGTTGTCAGAAACCCGCACCTGGTGGCAAAGGGAAACACAATGATAATCGGTCACCATCACGCCTATTTGAGTTAGCAGTTACCACGTAGGTATAAATAAAATAGACTGTGGATGATGGACAATTCTGAGAGCCAGAGATGAGGCACGGTCTTTTCCTTGTCAGAACATGTAAGAACAGAAGTAAGGGTGACATTATTATAGGGCTCATATTCAACCTACTATAATTGTTTTAAGTAGCTCTTTTGGAAATGCTAATATCTACCTCTCTCTTTTGCTGCAAACAAGCTATGTATCAAGTTTCTATGGTGCTCTCACTGCTCTGAAAGTGCACTTGACCAAGGTGACCTGGAGAGGTAGCATGTCTGACGTTGACATTTACCAGAGTGGACCCTCAGAGGTTAGATGACAGGTTATCAAGAGATTGAAAGTCTCATCAACCTGGTTTTGCTTTTCAAACATTTCCACATACCTGTGTATCTCCAGACTTGGGCATGAGTGTGGAAATGACTTGGCTAAAAGAATCACCTGCGCACATGTAGATTCAACATGGGACCTACTTCTTGAGTTCACAGCTTCTAAATAAAGTAACAAGAAGGAAAAGAAGACTTCGCAAGTGTGATTCTGTGCGTAGTTAAAAAAAATTCCTATCTGATGAGGAAGAAAACAGAACCAAAGGTCTGCACTTCTGAGCATTTCTGAGTTTTCATACAGTAGTTCTGTCATCCCAACTTCCTTGTCAAGAACAGACTTGTAATATTGGGAGCCCTAGAGCAAAAATGAAAATATTAAGAGATTAAAGAGAAGCCAGATATCCTTAATCTGAGGCCAATGTACCAAGAAGTTATCTTGAACAATTACAAAATGCAAAGCATTGTACAAAATGCAAAGAATGCCTGTTTCTTTTAAAGATGAGAGTAAACTAAAGCTTAGTTAAGTTACAACTCAGTGACGTAGGAACTGAACTGAAGTTGGGGTTTTGCTCTGACAAAAAATAATTTATTTAAAGCCAATTAACAGTATAAACACGATTGCAGCAACTACTCAAACGCTTCCAAAACTACTTAGAAGTACCCATTTGTAACTAACTGACACAGTAATTACAAGCAGCATCCTACAGGTACACCCTTGAGAGGTTACTCATCATTTTACGGCTGAATCCATGAGAATTCAGATGGTGGAACCAGCTCCCATTGCCCACCTCTCAGAAGAACACCTGATGTCTGGGGTCAGGCCGGCCCACACAGGTATCAGGAGGTGAAGAGACACAGAACTGGGGTTGTTCCCTTCTATATCCCCTGCCACATACACATCCAGAAAAAACTTATATTCCTACGTACAGCAACAACTTCGCTACTCACCCAGGCTTTCTAGTCGGGTTTGGGTTGTGAAATTCTTGGTGCGGCCGTCCAGGGCCGTCTCCCTCTTCCCGCCGTGCCCCAGAACCAATGAGTTTCCATTTATGTCCACCTAGGAGCTGTCCATGACAAGCTCCGCCCATGGTTTTCCTTCATCCCTGCGACTACGGAGCATCACACCCTGGCGGTCCTCTGGTCAGTGCAATCTCTTCTTCCGTGCTTGTGTTTGAATGACTGAGAAAGCTAGGCACTCTGTTGCCTAACTCCGGCTTTCCCTGTTTTAAGCCAGGTTGCAGGACAGGCTATTTATCACGGTGCAGGACCAGGAGCCCACAGAGGCTCCCCATTTTCTACTGACTCAAGTGCCAGATCTGCTTCCCACGTCTCACCTCCACCTTCAGTGCCTGTCGCCTGCTGCTGTGTGCCAGCAGGGAGCTTTGGCTCTGAGAGGCTGGCACCCTCACGGTCTCTCTAAGGCAAGGCTGCCTTCCACTTCTGGATGGGTGTGCTGAGTATATGTCCCTTTCCTTAACAACCCTCTTCCCCGGCCCACTCTACCTAACCTTACCATACTGCCTGTTTATCTCAGTGCGCCTACTCCATAAAGCTTCCCTGACCACTTCAGCCATCTCCCTATCAAAGTCCTACAGATGTTACCCACTTACCCAATTACCCAATTACCATGGGGTCCCATACAATTCAACAGTTAGGTCTCTACACCCTATGCAGCTTTCTGGGACTTTGATGTTTCAGTCGAGTCTCCCCAGCTGGCTGTGGGCTTTTATATTTCAGTGATTATCCCTTTACAGTATTTTTTAATGCATCCCCACATGTTGGGATGTACTCAGTAAATATTCCAAAGACCTAGGATTATAAAATGTTAGAGTTAGAAGGGGGTCTTACTTAGCCTTTTCATTGTATAGCTGAAGCAACCGAAATCTAGAGAAATCCACAATGAATTCTTGTCTGAAGAGAACCCAGGCCACCAATCCCCAGTTCAACGCTTTCACACTTCCAATCCGCACATTCACTTCAGTCTATGTAAGGTCATTCAGTATCTCTGAACATAAACATTTTCCCTAAAAATAATTCATGATTCTCACTTTTCACTACATTAGGTTGGGCTTTTAAAATTTATTATTATTATTATTATTATTTGAGACAGAGTCTTGCTCTGTTGCCCAGGCTTGGAGTGCAGTGGTACAATCTCAGTTCACTGCAAACTCTGCCTCCCAAGTTCAAGCAATTCTCCACCTCAGCCTCCCAAGTAGCTGGGATTACAGGCACCCACCACCACGCCTGGCTAATTTTTGAATTTTAGTAGAGATGAGGGTTTCACCATGTTGGCCAGACTGGTCTCGAACTCCTGAGCTCAGGTGATCTGCCCACCTCGGCCTCCCAAAGTACTGGGATTCCAGGCGTGAGCCACCACATCCGGCCGACTTTTTAAATTGTTACAATTCTTTTGTACTTTAGGTTCGGGGGTACGTGTGCAGGTGTGTTACTTGGGTATGTTGCATAATGGTGAGGCTTGGGCTTCTCATGAACTCATCACTCAAATAGTGAACATAGTATCCAATGGGTAGTTTCTGGACCCTGGCCCTCCTTCCATCCTTCCCTCTTCTGGATTCTCCAATACCTACTGTTTCCATCTTCGAGGTTGGACTTTTCAATAGTATTCATTCAGCCTGATATCACCGATGACAATTTGATTTGCCAGCTCCATTCCCCAAGCCAGTGATGGTTATGAGGGAATGCTCCCGTGAGATGGCACCACCCTTAGCTGAGCTTGTGTAGAGACTGGGACACTGAAGACAGGCAGAAGAAATTCTGAGGGCACACATACTCCACTGCCACTGGGTCAATGAGACACAGCCCAGACATCTGGGTAGAGATGACTAACACAAGTCAACGCACAAAACATAGTTCTGAGTGAAGCGAAACAGAGAATCTAGACAGGCAAGTTCAGGTGCCAAACATATCCTTTTAGCCTCATTCAGATTACAAATAACTCTGGTGTTCCACCAGAGTTGCTGAAAGAGCAAATATTGCTTTAGGTCACATCCCATCAACTACTAACAGAAATTTGCTTTTTTGTGCTCCCCAACTTTCTTAAAATTTTAGTTTTTTTTCCTTATTCCATCTTGGTTGGTTGGATTTTCAAACATCAGCTGCTCTGCAGTGGAGGGGAGGGTGAGATGGGAGTAGCAGTGGATGACAGATTGTGGATCCACACAACAGTGCTCTTCCCTGCTGTCTGGGGGTGCGAAACGGCTCAGCTCATCCGCACCCGCCCACCCTCCCACTGCGAGGTGCATCTGCTGGAGCTGGCCCGTGGGCGACAGACTGTTTTTCTGAGATGGCTCGTGTCAGAGCACTGGGTGGCAGGTAGGTAGCGATGTGGGCGCTTTGCTACTCAGAATTTCTGAGTCAGAATTTCTGAGTCAGTCTGACACCTAGGCAGCTGCGGAACAGCCTCTCCAGGTTCTTTAATTAACTTAATCCATCTAACCATGGTTTTTAAATAATTAAGTGCCTTGGTAACCCGTGTTCAAACATTTGAAGAATGTGAGTTACAACCATATTTTAACCTTTTAATTCTAGTTTAAAACACTTTATTTCCCTTCCTGTTATTTACAAGCTGTGGCTTCATAAAAAATACAGTATTTGAGGGAAATAAAGAAGATGTTTAGATGATCAATAATGAGCAAGGAGCCAGCCCTGTTATACTCATGGGATCATTTCAAACAGTAAAGCAACAATGCAGTAAAAATGAAAATCACTCAGGTGTTTTTCTGAGAGTCACATGAAAATCCTCCCATCAGTACAAACTGTAAAAATCGTCAATGTGTTTATTTGAACCTGACACACTCCTAAAATGTTTAGATTGTTTGTGAAAAAAAAAATCATGTTTTACTTACTTACTTCCTAAAAACAGAAACCACCTAGATTCATTCCTTGGTGGCTTTATTTAATATTAGCTACTCCTTAAAAGAGTACTGGAGATATTTATTTATTCTTTGAATTATATAAAATATAATTTTTATTAAACGATTATATCAAATACTAAATATCCTACTGTTAATTTTAAGAAAATATGAAGCAAATACTTCATTTGGGGGCTTTCTCTACAGTTTCCCAAACAACCTTTTGTAATATTAAATTAGAAAACAATATTACAGTTTAGGTACTCTTTCTTAGCCTGGAAGTATTTAACGCTGTTGTTAAATGTATTCATTAAATGGCAGATCAGCCCAGGGAACTCACATTCTCAGTCTGAATGACCTCTTCTTTCTTTTCTACTTACTGACATTCTAGTTTTCCTTCAAGGTCAAAATCAGATATCACCCCCAAAAGCCTTCTTCAGCCTCTGCAGTGAGTTAATCGATGTGTGTGATACAACATGACATCACGGCATGCTGTACCAACAGAAGGCACTGTCACCTACACTCCGAGTGTGGCCCTCATCACGCCCCATTAGGGTTTACTGTGTGCCTTGTGTAGATAGATCCTCCTGGACACCCAAAAGGGATCTCAAGTTCAGCAGGTTCTGGAACCTGCTTGAGATTCTTTATCCAACACCTTCTCCTTCCATGGCCTTCCTTTGGTCTGTAAAGAAGAACCACATTGCCAGGGGCTCAGGTCAGAAACCCGGGGGTCATTCTTCACTCTTCTTTCTTTTACCCCTCACATCCAATCCATCAGCAAAGCCAGATGGTTTGGCCAACAATATGAATCCAGAATCTGACCACTTCTCATCACCACTTTTCTGAGTCACCGAGAGGCATCGGTGGTCCGATGACCCCCTGGGTCATCAGAAGAGCCTCCTTTTAGTCTCAGCCTCAGCCTTGCCCTCCTACACCAGCCAGAGTGAACGCGTTGGAACAGTCAGTCAGATTGTGTCAACCCTTTGCTCAAAATCTCCTGGTGCTTTTCCCCTAGCTCAGATAAAAGCCAGATGTTTTGCAGTGGCCTAGGACATCCTACAGCATCTGCTCCCTCCCCTTCTTCCTGACCTCATCACTCCCCTCTTACTCAGCTCCAGCCACAGTCACTTTCTAGCTGCACCTCCAATAGGTGCCTTTGTTCTGGAACACAGCTCCCCAGAAAACTGCATAAGGCACTCCCCACCTCCTCTCACTCTTTACGTAAGTGCCATCTTCTCAGTAAGGCTTTCACGGGCAACTTTATGGAAGACTACGATCCTGGACTCTGCCCCCTTCACCATACACTAATCACACACTCCCCATCTCCTTTGCTCTGCATTGTTGTTCCTGAGCACCTATCACCACCTAACATCCTGTGCATTTCCCTTAGTTATCTCTTTGTTCATGCTGGAGCTCAGAAAATGATAACCCAAAATCAAGGTCCCAGAAGCAAAAGTTTTTCTCCGACCTTCTCCTGCCCTCCTATCTCTCACCCCTCATCCTCCCCCAGGCTAGCCATAAAATCTGGAATACCTCTTCCCCAAGGTGGATCCTAGAGACCAGAACCCCATTTCCCCAAAGCCAGCCATAAAACCATAAAACTTTTCCTCCACCTTTCTATGTAAAACTGGCCAATGAAATTATATGACCCATCTTGTTTGACTGTAGGTCATAAGAATCCCCATTCCAGAGAGGGTGCTGCCCCACACCCAGAAGGAAGGAATACATGCTCAGAGAGGCCGAGAAGATTCCAGACAGGCCTTGCTGGGCTTCCCCGCTTGGTCTTATAAGATTTAGATCATTCCCTTTTGGTCCAATCCTATTTTTTACACACCTGTTTATACTTTGTTGAACCTAAGCATAAAAGTGAATGGTTTCCCCTGTGTTTTTGGGTCTTCATTCTGAAGGCTCCCATGTCACATAAACTATGGTCAAGCAACTGTATATGCCTTTTCTCCTATTAATCTGCCTTTTATCAGGTGATTTTCAGTGAAACTTCAGAGGGTGAAGGAGAAGTTTTCTCTTGGCCCCTACAATTGTATCTCCGATCCCAACCCAGACTGACACATCCAGGAGGGCAAAAGTGATTTTTGTGGTTTTGTTCCCTGACATATCCCTAAGTGCCTGGAGTAGCACCTAGTAACCAAAGTGCTCCACAAATACTCAGAGAGGAATGAATGCCTCTCTTCTCTTTATATCACTTAGGGCCTTTTGTGGTGCACCGAGTACACATGAGGCCCCCCAGATATCATTGTTTTTATATGAATAGCTTCAAAACCCATTTTGGCAATGCAGGCCTCTGTTTCCTCATCAAGAGAATAAAGTTATATCTAAGGTCTCTTGAATAGAAGTAACATCTTTAGAACCTTCTTCATTTTTCAGAAAAGGCACAGATTCAGACATATGAAGAAATGTGCCTTAAGTTGCTCCTTTTGAGCACCTGTTGAGTGCTAGGGATGCCAAGTGAGGCCAAGAGAGGTGCTATGGGAACCAGGTGCCAGGTGAGGCCAGGTGAAGACAGGTGAGGCCAGGTGAAGATAGGTGAGGCCAGGTGAAGACAGATGTTACGGGAACCAGCAGGTAGAAAGCTAAGTGCTGTGGAGAAAGAGCGGGAAGAAATGGAGGAGGTGTCTGGGACAACAGAACTTGAAAAGAACCTGCTTCTCAGTAGCCCCAAGTCCTGTGTGTGCCTGGCTCAGCGCATCCTGGGGAGCACACTTTCCTGGGATAGGGCACTTCTGCCGCCTCCCTCCTCAGTGCATACTTCCACCAAAGACTCTTCAGACTCTATTCAGACGAAATGATGAAACCATTGTCTAAATAAGCCCCAAGAGGCTTCAGTGAAGCAGAGTGAATAGGGAACTGGGGCATCGACTTGAGTAAATAGCTTAACTCAGGTCACAGAGCCCCCCACATAACAAGAGATGACCGTAAACAACTGGAGCCTCCAACTCCAACTCTATTGATCATACTCAGAGAAATGAAACCTAACATGTTTTACTCTCTCTAAATCCCTTAGAAACATTCTACCTGCTTTTGTTTTGTTTTTTGACTTGAATAGTTTCAGGTTTACTTTCTTTTTTTTAAAGAAAGCTTTTTTGGCAAGGTGCGGTGGCTCACGCTACCTGTAATCCCAGCACTTTGGGAGGCTGAGGTGGATCACCTGAGGCCAGGAGTTCAAGACCAGCATGGCAACCAACATGGCAAAACCCTGTCCCTACTAAAAATACAAAAGTTAGCCGGGCATGGTGGCATGCGCCTGTGGTCCCAGTTACTCAGGAGGCTGAGGCAGGAGAATCACTCGAACCTGGGAGGTGGAGGTTGCAGCGATCTGAGATCACGCCACTGCACTCCAGCCTGGGTGACAGAGCGAGACTCCGTCTCAATAACAAAAAACAAAAGGTTTCTTTCTTCTTTTTAAAACTGACACGTAATAATTTTACGTATTTATGAGGTACACAGTGATACCTCAATACACATAATGTACAGTGATCACATCAGGGTAATTACCATATCCATCATCTCAAATGTTTATCATTTCTTTGTGTTGGGAACATTTAATACCTTTCTTTTAGTGACTTGAAACTATATATTACTGTTAACTATAGTCATTCTACAGTGGTATAGACAACCAGAACTTATTCCTCCTATCTAGCTGTAATTTTGTATCCTGTAACAAATCTCTCCCCATCCCCCCTCCCCGTACCCTTCCCAGATGCTAGTATGCTCCATTTACTTTTCACTTCTATAAAGCCAACCTTTTTTTTTTCTTGCTAACCATTTCCATTTGTTTTCATTATCTTCCATTGTTTCTTTTTGAAAAGATAATCCCAGAAGTTAGTGCATTAGAAAAACTGTTTGAGATTAACTTTTTTTAGCTTCCACATATGGGTGAGAAAATGTTGTATTTAACACTCTGTGCCTGGCTTTCTGTCCTCTGAATGCATCAGCCATGATTTCACCGACTCTCTCTGAGTTCCCTGAGAGCTTTCTGCCTAAAGCCCTTCCATGGGTACTAATAACTGAGTCTCAGAGGCAGCAGCGGGCAGGCTTTTATTTCACAAAGTTGGTCAATCCCAGTCAGAGGAGCTAATGCAAAAAGTTAGACTCTGATCTGGGATCAAGCAGACGGTAGCAAATTAAAAACACTCCCATGTCTAACCTAAGCAAATTAATCTCATCAATATAACAATCAGCTGTTTTCCAAATTAAAGAAGGCAAACATGAAAACCAGTAGAAAGTCACAGATAAGCCCTTCTGATCTGACTCAAGTTCAAGGAGACAATCCCACAGTCCTTTCAGGTGCACAAACTCTACATCTCCAACTCCCTATTCTCTTTCTTCCTCCATTCAGCCTCAGATCGGGGGCATCACCTTGCAATATGCTGCTGACAGAGAGTGGGCCACCAACTTTGGGGATTGAACAAAAAATAAGGGATCCATGCAAAAGAAACAAAGAAAGTCAGAGTACAGACTGAGTCTAGGAGATAGAAGTATCACAGGAGTCAATAAAACACCTCAAAAGTTGCTTGCTTTCCAATAAAGTGACAACCTTTATCTCCTGCCTTGAATAAGCCACCTGGGCATGACACAGTCAATGGAGAACTTCAGCACCTTAGTATTTCACGGATTTGTCAATAATACAATTGGAAGATGTCTTTGGAGAATAAAAGCCAGCAGGTGCAACTCTGAGTATGTCAGAGTATATGAGGCAGATGAGATTTCTGTCCCTGAAACCAACCTTGTAGTAAACTGAACCTTCTGGAATTGCCATTTTTATGGGTCAAAACAATTGAGTGTCGGCAATTCACATGCTCCAAAGACAATAGACACTCACACACAGCAACAGTCCAATGAGCAATGTCATAAAACAACTTGTTCTCAAAGCACCGGAGTTCCCAATAGGTTACTGCTTCAATCAAAGATTCTGTTCTTGATAGGACTTACAGTTATGTCATAAAAGAAGAGACATCATTTCTTCCAAGTTATTGATAATAGTAGCAGTATCTTCCGGGGGCTATAAAATGACAGTCACACACAGTAACACTCCAATGAGCAATGTCATAAAATAGCTTGTTCTGAGAGCACCAGAGTTCCCTTAGGATACTGGTTCAATCAAAGATTCTGTCCTTGATAGGACTCACAGTTATGTCATAAAAGGAAAGACATCATTTCTTCCACGTTATTGATAATAGTAGCAGTATCTTCCAGGGGCTATAAAATAGGCATAGATAATAACAAATTTATAGTTAAAAAAAAACCCCAAACCTTCAAAATACTAAAAACTGGTATGTTTTATAGACAGGTATGAGTTCACAGATTTAAACACTAAGAATCTCTTCTCTTTGACCATTATTGGGTGGAAATGTTTCTAGAATTTATTATACACTTCCCTGCCTTCTTAAGTAGAAACATGTTGAGATATTTTTCTTGATGATTCAAGGACGTGGATTACTATATTGCGCTCTAAAACAATGACATCCCATTCAGGTATATAAAATTGTTCGTTGCAAGACTAAAGACTTAAAAGATTCTGTCTCTTGTCCTCCACTATTTGTATGGGTTTTGTGCAACTAAATAAAAACTATCATGTACCTCTATATTAGTTTGCTAGGGCTGCCTTAACAAAATATCACCAGTGGGTGGCTTAAACAACAGAAATTTATTTTCTCAAAGTTCTGGAGGCTTCAAGTTCAAGATCAATGTGTCTGCAAGCTTCATTTCTTCTGAGGCCTCTCTTGGCTTGCAGATGGCCACCTTCTCACTGTGGCCTCATTTTATCTTAATCACCTCCTTAAAGATGTTATCTATAAATACAGTCACATTTTGAAATACTGAGGGTAGAACTTCGACATAAGAACTTGAGGGAGACGATTTGGCCCATAACAAGGTCTGATGCCCAGATGCTATTAAAGCTCAGGTTCTTAGACATAACTGCATTCAAATTAAGACCATGTCACTTCCGGCTTTGGGACCTAAGTAGAGAAGTTGTTCAACCTATTAATTTCCGTTTCATCCTCTGTAAAGTGAAGACAATGATACCTATATCTCATCAGTTTATTGCAATGCATGGAAATGAATATGTGTAAACATTGCCTGGCACATATAAAGGGTTCAATAAAGATGTTATTTTAAAATAAAATTTTAGTTTGGAATTTTTTAACTATTTATCTTTTTATAACCTGCCATGTCTATTTCCCCATAGCTGTGCCTTTCCCTCTGTAATTTCTTATATTATAGGCTTGAAAACCAGATAATTAAAACTTCTAGAATTAAATGTAAAGGCTCAAAATCAAGACCTGTGAATACAGAGCACAAACATCAGAATATGGGATTTTGGATCTCTCTTCTGGCTAATACAGAGTTTGCTTGTTTAATTTTATGTAAATTCTATAGTAGATATAATTTAGTATTTATTGCACATTTTAGATAAGATAATCACAATGTGAAGTGTAGACTGTCATCATTAAAGGAAAAAAAAAGCAGTGACACAAATTGGATCACAAGTAAGTGGCATCTGAAATAAACATTTGTTTTGAAAGTGGTTGGTGGTGATACATAATTTATTCAATGTTGCATACCACTTAGAACAACAGCACAAAGAAGTCTGAGAAGCTGAACTTTCTTACACAAAGTTTCCCAGAAGAAAGTGAAATATTCAGAATACTCTTAGCGTACCTTTCAAGTATCATTCTGAAGCAGATGTCAGCAAACTTTTTTTGTGAGACAGTAAATATTTTAGGTTTTGTGGCCACATGGTTTCTGTTCAACTATTCAACTCTGCCACCTTAGCCGCTAAGCAGTCATAAATGATACAGAAGCAAACAGGTGTGGCTGCACACCAATAAAACTGTGTTTATGGACAATGAAATTTGATTTTCATAAAACTTGACTGTGTCAGAAAACATTCTTTTTCTTTTTCTTTTTTTTTGTCCCAACCATTTGAAAATATAAAGCCATTCTTAGCTCAGGCAGTACAAAAACAGGTGGTGGGCTAGATTAGGTCCAGGGGCCCTAGTTCGCCCACTTCGTTCTACTCTTCACCCCCCTGCCCCCCCGCCCCCCCGCCCCCCTCGCTTAGACGGAGGAGTCTCGCTCTGCTGCCCAGGTTGGTGTGCAGTGGCGTGATCTTGGCTCACTGCAATCTCCACCTCCCAGGTTCAAGCAATTCTCCTGCCTTAGCCTCCCGAGTAGCTGGGATTACAGGTGTGCACCACCACGCCTGGCTAATTTTGGTATTTTTAGTACAGATGGGGTTTCACCGTGTTGGCCAGGCTGGTCTTGAACTCCTGACTGCGTGATCCACCTGCCTCGGCTTCCCAAAGTGCTGGGATTACAGGCATAAGCCACCGTGTCTGGCCCACTTCACTCTATTCTAAAAGCGCAACAAGTATTTGTTGATGGTAACAACACATTTGTACTACTGAAAATAATTTGACAACTAAGGATCAGTCCAGCATCCCCCACTGCCTCTTCCCATCTTCTTTATTTGAAAACTACCTATGTTGTAGCAGCTCCCTACCTGCCTTAATCAAAAGCCACTGTACACCAAGCCCAATTAAGTTCACTTACTGAACACTTTAACTAGAGTTTCAATGCATCTCTTCATAAATAGGGATAAAGCAGCATCCTGGCTAAAGGCACCAGGGTTACCAATGGCAGGAACAGGGGCCAGGCATGGTGGCTCATGCCTGTAATCCCAGCACTTTGAGAGGCTGAGGTGGGAGACAGCTTAAGGCAACAAGTTTGAGACCAACCCAGGCAACAAAGCAAGACCACGCTCTCCAAAGAAAAATGAAAAAAAAATTGGCCAGGTGCGGTGGTGTGCGCCTGTAGTCCCAGCTCCTCAGGAGGCTGAAGTGGGAGGATCAACTAAGCCCAGGAGTTAGAGGCTGAAGTGACCCACGATAGTGTCACTGCACTCCAGACTGAGTGAGAGAGCGAGACCCTATCTCCAAAAAATAAAAATAAACAAAAAGGAACAGGAACTGAGCTGTCACATGGATCCCACATTTACAAAGCAGCAAAAGGTACTAAAAGTTTGTATACTGCATGAATACAAAAATTATTTTTTGTTTTGTTTTGTTTTTATGTTTCTTTGTTTTTTTGAGATGGAGTCTTGCTCTGTCGCCAGGCTGGAGTACAGTGGTGCAATCTTGGCTCACTGCAACCTCCGCCTCCCGGGTTCAAGCCATTCTCCCACCTCAGCCTCCTGAGTAGCTGGAACTACAGGTGCATGCGAACACACCAAGCTATTTTTTGCATTTTTAATAGAGATGGGGTTTCACCATGTTGGCCAGGATGGTCTTGATCTCTTGACCTCGTGATCTGCCTGCCTCGGCCTCCCAAAGTGCTGGGATTACAGGCGTGAGCCACCGCGCCTGGGCAAAAACTGTATTTTTACCCAACAGTTGTCATCATAACATGGCCTTGCTTTGGGGAATGAATAAAGAAGTAAACTTTAGTAAATCAACATCACAAATTGTTCTTAAGAATGAACGACACTGTCCAAAGTTTTAGATGGCTACCAAAGTTTAATAATTATTTCTTACTCCCCAAATATCACCTGGACATTATTTCCTCAATCCTTGGGGAAAAAAAAAAAACACAGTATAGAAGTTCTGTGGGAAATTCTGCAGTCTATAATACCTCCTTTTTTTTTGTATACAACTCTTCTTTCTGAAAAGCTCAAAACTGTATTGCAGTGTTTCACTCATTCTCATAAGATTCCTATGCAGATGTTGCCGTATCTTTTAGAATGAAGGGTGATGGAGTTCAGGGCATGCGACCCCCAAACAGGGCACCTTAGCATTTGAGAAAACAGCAGAAGCAGGAAGATCATTCTCGCCTTCCTCTTAACCTTCTTCCCTGAAGCTCTGCCCTTCCTTTGAAGAAGACCCTCATTACAAGGGAGCCCATCCTATATCCTGAGAAAAGGAATGCTCTATCTTTGAAGACACAGAGATTCCAAGAAAAATCTGAACAAATAGGCCTTGCTAAATTCCTCCAGTTATTTAGCTTTTTAGATCATATCCTCTTTGTTCTTTTTTTTTCCCCCTCCAAGACAGAGTCTTGCTCTGTTGTCCAGGCTGGAACACAGTGGCTCAATCACAGCTCACTGCAGCCTCAAACTCCTAGACTCAATGCCTCAGCCTTCTAGGTAGCTGGGACTACAGGCACACGCCATCACTCCGGGCTAATTTTGTTAACTTTTAGTAGAGATGAGGTCTCACTCTGTTGCCTAGGCTAGAGTGCAATGGTGCAATCATAGCTCACTGCAGTCTTGAACTCCTGAGCTCCAGCAATCCTTCCACCCTGGCCTCCCAAAATGCTGGGAGTACCTGTGTGAGCCACCGTGCTCAGTCAGATCATATCCTTTTGTTCTCCAATCATTCGTCTACACAACTGTCCTAAAAATACATAAACTTCCCTGTTTCTTGGGGTCTTCATTTCTAAAGGCGTCTATGTCATCTAAAACTTATATTAACTAAATGTGTGTGCTTTTATCTTGTTAATTTGCATTTTATTATAAGTTCCCCGGCCATGAACCTTATGATGGGTGAGAAATCTTTTCTTTCCTACAAAGGGAAATAAAGAGATGTTAAATTGTTTGCTGGAAATAATTCAGAGTCTTTGGCAAAGCACAGAATGAGAAGACTATTGCTGAATTACCAACCTAAGCCTTCTTCCAAGTAGACCATGAAGACTTTACTCAGTTCCTTCCAGAAACGGAAGTTTGTACATTCTGGGGTGAGAAGATTCTGACATAAAAGCACTCATGGGCCTGTGTTACAACAATGACTACCAATAACAGCATCTTTGTAATGCTCATTGTTAGCATTCTGAATAAGTCAAGGATTGACTGTACTGATTAATTAGGTAACAATTATCTCAGTGATTTGCCTTCAAAAGGACTAGAAGTGTTAAGAAAAGAAAAAAAAAAAGCACAACATGTCTAATATCCACCCAAAAAACGAAAAGCGATTGCAACTCATTTTATTTGGTTGGCGCTTTTCCAGAAAATATTTTCCTAGTAATGAAGCACATCAGCTTTACTCTAAAAAATTGTCTGCTTCCAGCAAGTGATTTAAAATATTGTTTGTTTCCAGCACACAATTTAACATCTCTTTATTTCCCCTTGTAGGGAAGAAAAGATTTCTCACCCATTATAAGATTCATGGCCAGGGCACCTATGATAATTTGAAGACTTTAAAAAACATCAAATGAATCAAATAATGGGTAATTATAATTTTGAAACCTTAAGAAATATCAAATGTGTCAAATAATGGGGCAGTACAAAGCCAACAGAAGAGTACTTTTCATTTAGAATAGTTGTATTCATATAACAAGAATTCATTGATGTGCTAACTTTACAAACCAAGAGGCACCTTTTTCATTTAGTTTATCCTTAAGTGCCCCTTGCACTGATTTCTTAAATGAACACTTGTTTTGCATGAATACAGACTTTCTTAGGAACTACAAAGCAATCTGAATACCAATAATAAGACGTCTATTCCCACCCCACCCCTTTCTTAAACAGAAACTATCCCTTTTTCTAATTCTCCTCTGGGAAGAATATTTCATCTATTCAAGATTATAAACTAATTTTTAACATTTAATTAGACAATATGATGTTAAGACTATACATGAGTCACGAAAAATCCCACCCAGATAAAAGCAAACCTTTTTCCTCAAAACTGTTCTTATTCTTGTTCTATCCTCACAATATCATTAGTAAGAAAACACCACACGCTATAAGCATCCTTCGAAATGTTTACCCAACATTGTGACCCAGTTGTAAACTTTCTGTAGCCCCATGGAAACACTTACTTCTGGGAAGAATGAATGACTCTCAATATAGCACAAATATACTCCAAAGGAAAGGCATGGTGACTCCTAAATGATCTGAGGAACAGAGGACTAGGTAAAGACAATGGAGGCAGAGTTATGGAAAGAAAAATTAAATTGTATTGGCAAGGGAACAGGCATTCTTTGGAAAGTGAGATAACAGGTCTGTCTTGTCTAGCGCTACATTTAACAGTTTTTTAGATCTCACAATACAAGCTAGAATTCCACTTCTGTTTATTTCAGGGTAGATTTACATCAGTTTAGTAATTCACCCCAGACCTCTGAATAATTGTTTCATGTGATCTACATGAATAGTGTATTATTACTCATTACCAAGTAATTACCAAGATAGTCAACAAGATATAGCCCAAAGGGAATTATACACAATAATTTGGGTGGTGGAGGGGGGTGGGGAGGAAGGAAGAGTTGGGAGTCACACAAAGGGATGTGATTCACCTGTAAAGGTTGAGGGTGGGGGGTTACAAAGTGGTCCTGGCAGAGAAATCACAAGGCCCAGGTTCCAGGACGACACTGGTAACTAGGAAGTGTGTGACCTTGTGCATGACGAGATGGATTATTTCAAAGATTGGATCTCATAGATCAAAAGAAGGGACTGTGCTGAACGCTCTTTCAGATTCCTCCCACTGTCCAAATACCAATTGATATCTCCACTCTGGGTATGTGCCTTACTAGGTCCGGCTGGGGAAATTCGGCCTTCATTCATCTGATCTGGCACAGTGACCGAGCCCTGGGGCATGCGCCCGGCCTCATCTTTCACCTGAGGAGGCTCCTCCATGGCCGGGCGCCCCGCGGGTGAGTCGTACGGGGACGTGGCGCTTCGAAGTTTATGGGGAGCCTCGCACACCTCAAGTTGAAGGAACTGCTGAATCAGGGTGCCCCAATTAAGTCAGATCTTAGGCAATCCTATGGTTCCTTTACTCTCCCTCACCCTTCCTCCTACTCTGAAAAGAAACCGGATCGGCCTGTCCGCCCAGAGGTCACCTGGGAAGAGCAGAGTGATGTCACTCGGCTACCCCCAAAACTGCCTCCAAGGTACAAAAGAGCTGGAATATCTGTGCATGGTCCAAAGGGACGGCACACTCCGGAAGGTGACCCTTTAGAAGGTATTATTACCAGACTGCAGCCTCGGCCTCTGGGATGGGTGCGGGAGGAAGGTGGTGAGTTTCCATCATCCCGCTGCCTTGCCGCACGGCGGCCAGGTGCTGCTACACATTCAAACCCGACAGTTTGGCTTAGTGGGTTGCGAAAAAAGAACTCAAGGGGAGGAAGCACCTGCAGCCACCCAGGCCGAAGTTAGGGACCACTTCCCCAGAGTTACGGACGGCAACAACCAAGTCACGTCTGGAGTCACCTCTCTGGCTTCCGGCTCCGCAGGGCTTGCCCTCCCGAGTCACCCAGGCAGAGGCCGGGGACGCCAGTAAGGGGAAGGTCGGAGGGTCGGGAGGACAGTGAGGGGAGGCGGGCTGGAGGAGCCGGGATGGCGAAAGGTGGGGGGTGGGGTGGGAGGGTTAGAGGGGCCCGGGGCGCCGGGGCCGGGGTGTGTGGGTTGTGGGCGAGGTGGCCGGGGCGGCCAGGGGGCGCGCAGGATACCCTACCTGTGGTGGAGAGCACGGTGCTGGCGAAGAAGAGCGCGGAGGTGAAGTCCCAGTTCCAGTTGCCCGAGGCGTTGCTGAGCACCGACACGCCGTAGTTGCTGGCCTCCAGCACCCGGCCCAGGAACTGCTCCAGCTGCTGCTCAGACAGGCACTCGTGCTCCTCCAAGAAGCGTCGCTTCAGCTTGCGCAGCTCCTGGCGCAGCAGGTCCTCATAGGGCAGCTCCACCGAGGAGAAGACCACTGCGCCGAAGACCAGGTAGAGCAAGTAGCCCAGCACCAGGAAGCCGAAGCACCAGGCCGAGCGGTGCCGCTCCACCAGGCGCACGCACGAGCTGCCGGCCAGGGACTGCAGCATCTTCTCCACCGCCGCCGCCAAGGCCAACGCCGCAGACCGGCCGGAGCGCGGCCCGCCGCCTCTTCTGGCCCCGCCGCCCCCGCCCCCGCCCGGGCCTGGCTCCCGCCCGCCGCCCGCTCCCCCGCGCGCCCGCCCGCCCCGCTCCTCCGGGCAGCGCCGTCTTCCTGCGATTGGCTCTCTCGGGCGATGTTTTTCTTCCTTCTTTTCCTGTTTCCTTGCAATATAAAAAGCCCAGATGATGTGGCGCTGACGTGGTTGCCGGCTCAGGTAACCCGAGAGTCAGCGGAGACCGCGCGCAAACTTGGCCAGAGCGCCTGGGCTGGGCTGCCGGGGCCCGGGACGCACCGCCTTCTGCGCACTCCAGAGGTGGGGCGGGCGCTCGGTGGCGCCCAGACCCCGACCCGACAGCCACCAGCTCCTCCCGCTCCCTCCCTTCCTGGGTCCAGTAGCCAAACTCTAGCTGACCGCGCGCGGCGTGTGCGTGTGTGTGTGTGTGTGTTCGCGCGCGTGTAGTGTGGGCCGCTTCTGGTCAATGCGCTGGCCGTCCAAGCCCCCTGTCCAAGCTACTCTTGTTTCCCACTTATTTTCTCCCAATCAAAGCCAGTATTACAAAACAGCAAGCGCTGAAGTACTTTCCTTCTTTGTCTTATTGGTCGAAGGATTGAGCAATCTGGTGCCAGTAATGACGGTGAAAATACCAGAACATCAGAGTTGGAAGGCTCCTTGAATCAGTCTCCTCTCTCCCACCCATCCCCCTCACAAAAAGGACTTGAGGGAAAAGGAGAGTCTCAGAGAAGTCCTATTTCTGAGTTCGAATTTTCTAAAACATGACCTTAGGTTTTTTGGTGAAAAAACATCCCAAATGTGTCAACTGCCAGAAGAAACTGAGCTTTCCCAACTGTCACTTCTTTTTAAAGTGACAAAAATGTGGGCGAGGGTCAGCGAGCCGCCTGCTTGTGGATGAAAATAAAAATTGGTACACCCTTTCTGGAAAGGCAATTTAGCGACACGTCTCAAGAACCTTGAAAGGGTTTATTTGTTCTGATTCAGTGATATGTCCTAAGAAAAAACAATCAGAGAGGCACTTACTTACAAAGACTGGTCATAGACGGTATCTATATATACATACATGTAGTTGTATAATATAGTGCATACACATGTGGGACACACACACACACACACACACACACACGGTATAGATGAAATAATGAAGACTCAGAACAATCTAAATATTCCAAAATAGAGAATGGTTAAATAAGTTATGGCATCTCTACAGCATGGACACCATATAGACATTAAACACATTAAAGTTGTGTCTAAAGACTATTGAAGCAAAACTGTGTAGAATCTCAAATATGTAAAATATTTGTATTTTGTTACAAAATAAAATGACATCTGCATTATTAATCAACTGCATAGGAATAAAACTATCTCCTTGCAGTTGTCTTTGGGTAATAGTAGAGTATATAGATGACTTTCCTTTCTTGTACCTTTTAATATTTTTCAAATTTTCTACAGTGGATATATATTATTTT
This sequence comes from Homo sapiens, assembly GCF_000001405.40. Classification (NCBI taxonomy): domain Eukaryota; kingdom Metazoa; phylum Chordata; class Mammalia; order Primates; family Hominidae; genus Homo; species Homo sapiens. The sequence goes on along the minus strand of NC_000001.11, from coordinate 233,612,636 downwards.
TGTAATCAGGAAAAACATTTAAAATACACAAAACTGAATTGTACAATTAATCATTCCAACACCTAGCTGAACATTTGCCTACTTTACTGAAGTTCTCTAAACAAGTCATATTTTGTATTTTCATAGAAACTTGTGCAAATGTCTAACATATATATCAGTGATTTTTCACTTTTAGTCAATAGCCTTACCTCCTACGTTACTCAAAAGATTGAAGCCAGCCCTCCACTTTACTTCTCTGTACTTCAAAATTTACTCATCGGTAATCCATTTCTTCCCTTTGCTCTTACCCCTAAGGAAAAAATGTACCTCCTTATTTTCAAGGTGAAAGGAAGCACTTACCACTCTCAGTCCTTCCGCCTCTGGGAACCCTTCCCCATCAGCAAGTGCCCTACTCTTTTAGAACTTGAATTCCTCCTTCTCCCTCAAGTCTCCATCCTACAATGTCCTTCCCTGTCCTGCTCTGTAACCCTTGCTTGCCCTATCCTATCCTTGATCTTTGCCTATTTGCCCTGTTCAGAGACCTCTTCATTCATGAGGCTACCCCCGGCCGTAGCAGACCCTCAGAATTCTCCTCCTGCCTGTCATGATCATTTTTCTCCCTATGTCTCTGCTCACCTGATTCCTTCTGCTTGGACAGTTCCTCCTCCATCTCCATCTGTAACACAGTTTATATCCTTCAGGACCTGGCTCACTCATGAAACCTGTGATTCCCCAACAGGATGTGAGTTCCTCTTCCCAAGACATACAACCCTTTGAATGCCAGATTGTGTGGGGTACTTGTGATGAACTGCAGGTGCAGGTGTGGTTATATCATCACACTCAAATATACATACATGTATTGTGGGAAAAAGAGTTTCTGGAGTGCCAGTTGAGTTGTTCTCCCCTGTGTGAGACACCCATGGGGAGCCATGGGTGACCTCTGAGGAGAAAAGTCTCCTTATTGCCTTCATGTCTTTATGCCCTGAGAGCATAACTGCTCGGGGGCATTCCACAGGCTGCTCAGGGAGATAACACGCCCTGGAAGCAGTGGAGTATAATCAAACATCTTGGCTCCTCCTGAAACCCGCTCCCACCCCTTTCAGTCCCAATAAGTTAAAGATCTTAAGTAGTTTAGACACACGCAATCTTAAGTAGTTTAGACACACGCCTTTGCTCAAGGAAATTCACAGAGACCACCACTGCTGTACATCTTATTGAATGACTCACAAGTTCTCCTTCACTGATTAATCCTTTTCCTCATCCCTTCCTCCCCCTCCCATCTGCCCTAAGAACAAAGAGCTTGTAAAACAATAAATTAGTTGGAGCCCAAGAGCTCTGGGCCATGAGCAAGCCTCCTACACAACGGTCCCCTGGACCCACCTTTTAAATGCTTATTCTGCCTCTTTCTAACTCCTGTGTCTCCGCTGGACTCGGGGTACCCGCCGGTTGGTGTGGGGCTGGTTCCCCCAACATGTATATGGCAGCTTTGAAATATGGTTGCAAATTCTTTGACAGTCCCTCACCAAAGGGTAGGGTTTCTGTCCCCTATCCTTGAAACTTGTGACTACTTCAACTGACAGAGTACATAAGAGATGATACTAGGTAATTTCCAAGGTTAGATGATAAAAGACCAGCAGCCTCCAACTTTGTTCACTGGAACAATCCCCTCTTGGAGCCCTGAGCCATCACATAAGATGTCTGATTAACTTGAGGCTGTCATGCTGGAGAGGCCACATGTAGGTGTTTCAAGGGACAGCCCAGTGAGCCCAGCTTCCTTATCATTCTCGCCAAGACACCAGATAGATGAGTGTAGCCATCTTCAACTCTCAAACCAGGGCATCCACCTGCTGAATACCACTGGGTGTCTTACCTCTGTCTATCTACCCAGGAACAGAACTCCCAGCTGAGTTCTGCCTGAATCCTGAGATATCATCAGATGGCTGTCTTAAGCCATCGAGTTTTTGGCTAGCTTGTTATACAATAATAGATAACTGGAACAACATGCATCTTGACTACATTGAATTTTAAAAATTATTATTAGAAGTTTTCTTCAGACAAATTTGCCATTTTCTCCATAGTTCACTTCTCTGGCTGAGACTCTGCCCCAGCTCTACATCACAACTAGGCCAAGGATACCAAATATTTTTAAATCATATTATCCTCAGACTACAAGTAGAAACTGGAAATATCATGGAAGTGGTCTGATGGGGGCATAGATCTCATCCTGCAGGACGAGGTACGTTGAGTGGAGCCTGGATATGGGGCTGGGAAATGCAAAGACTTCTGAGGTTCTGGCTGTCTGAGTTGATGGGAATCCTGATAACACAGGTTGGCTGCCTTCCTTCCTCGTCCTGGGCCACTGCTCTAGACAGATGCTCCTGTCTTCAAAGAAGTTAGCAATCTCGGAAATGTTAGAATTTTTTCTTCTAAAGTTTGAAATCTTTACTCCACATGATCTGTGTGTAACTCACTGCTGACTAGCTACTTCTCTCTGGACCTCCCAACACGGATTAAAGGGACCATACAAGCTGACATTTCTGCTGACTCACCCCCACCTAGCATGCCACACGCTATCCCCAAGCATGTTTTAGAAGAGAATGGGAATATGGAAGAAAACTCAGAGAAGAGTGCAGAGATACAAAAGAGGGGATCAAGGGGAGTAGGAGTGGGGGAGTAAAGAGAGTGGGGGAAGAGGCCATGGCTTCTTTCTGCTTCCTGCATCAGTGTCCCCTCTAACTGACATAATTTGTGGACTGGTGACCATGCTTTCTGAGAAACAAACTCTGGGCTTGGCACAGAGCCTTGCAAGTTAATCTGATGTAGAGCTAATGATGTAAATGATCACTACTGTGTTGTATGATACTTGGGCATCAATGGGCTTCATGACCTCAACAGGTTGAGATGATGAGAATAATTTGTAGAGACAGTGGTTCTATAGGAACTTGGGATCAAAAAGTGAAATTTACAAATACAGGGTTGGGAAAATCCAGTCAATCAGCAACAAGTACAAAAAGTTAGCATTTGCAATTCCACCTCTGGGTATGTACCCAAAATAATTGGAAGCAGGGACTTGAACAGATATTTGTATACTCATGTTCATAGCAGCATGATTCACCGTAACTGAAAGGTGGAAGCAACCCAAGTGTCCATCCGCAGATAAACGGATAAAAATTATGATACATACATACAGCCATATAGTATTCAGTCTTAAGAAGGAGAGAAACTCTGACACCTGCTCTACATTTGATGAACCTTGAGGACATTATGCTAAGTGAAATAAGTCATTCACAAAAAGACAAATACTATATGATTCCACTGGTATGTGTACCTAGAGTAGTGAAATTCACAGAAACAGAAAGCGAAATGGTGGTTGCCAGGGGCTGGAAGAAGAGAGAAGGGGGATTGATTGTTTAATGGGTATGGAATTTCAATTGTTCAAAATGAAAAAATTCTGAAGATAAATGGTGGTTGTGATTGCGTAACAATGTGGATGTCCTTAATGCCACTGAATTGTACACTTAAAAATGGTTAAAATGCTAAATTTTATGTTATGTGTATTTTATGGCAATCCTAAAAAAAGAAAAAAGTTAGCATTCGGATGGACAGAGGGGCCACATGCATTAATAGCAAGCTGAAGCTCTCCCACCAGCTGATGAGCTCCCAGGCTCTATCTGTGACATGGGGCCCTTGAAGAAGCAGACAGCCACCACTTCCAGAGAGTGCTGGGTGGTTCAGGTGGGGCACAGTACAAAGAACCTGAAAGACCTGGCACAGACGCAGATGCGAGGCACATGGCTGGTGATGGGTCTGGAAATTCTGCTTAGAGAAGTGGCTGAAGGATTCCAGGTGCTTTCCCTGAGAAGAGAAAACTTAGGAGGATCTGGTAGCTACACATGGAAAAAAAAATGTGAGTTTATTTTGTATGTCTTCAAAGGGCAGTGCTAAGATTAATGGGTGGAAGATACAGAATGTAACATTTAAAATTCACTGTACGAGAGAACATTCTATTCATTTGAGTTGACTGTCAATGGAATGAGCTGCTTCTAGAAACAGTGAGCTCCCTTTCATGAGTGTTCAAGCCGAAGGCAAACAATGACAAATTAGAGAGGTAGAATGAAGAGCATTCAGCCGATGTCATTTAAGGTTCTTTCCAAGTCTGAGATGTTATGGTTCCAGCATCTATAAGGTCAAGGGGAGGAGGAGGGAAAGAATGAACCAAGTGAAGCAAAAAGTCACCCTGAGATGCCTCTGAAAATTTTTGGATTCACAAGCAGGGATACCCAGAATGTTCTA